>NC_000022.11:15454318-15754318 GCF_000001405.40 Homo sapiens | reverse complement strand
AGGTAATGGATATGTTTGCTATTTTAATATGTTGCTGGTTTTATAGAGCTACAAATGCCAAGAATTACCAAAATGTACAATTGAAGTATGTGCAGTTTATTGCATGTAAATAAACCTTTTAAAAATTAACCGATACAAGTTGACTTACATGACCAGAAAGCTCTTGAAAAACTCTCCTGTTTTCTCCCCTATTTTTATTCTTGCATGCCCTTATAGACTGTGTTAACACATTTCTCATCTTACGGTTCTTTTGTGTCTACATTTCTCCAGGTCAATATAACTATCACCATAATTTCTTGGTTTCTCTTTAGTTCATCAGTAATTATGAGTAATGTATTGAAATGTTAATGATATGTTCATGCATTCAGAATCCTCTGCTCTCCGATCTACATAATAGTGAATTATGCTGTCAACGATTACACAGTATATTGCTTTTTTTTTCTTTTTTGAGACAGAGTCGCGCTTGGTTACCCAGGCTGGAATGCAATGACACATTCTGGGCTCACTGCAACCTCCACCTCCCGGGTTCAAGTGAGTTTCCTGCCTCAGCCTCCTGAGTAGCTGGGATTACAGGCATCTGCCATCATCCCCGGCTAATTTTTGTATTTTTATTGGAGACAGGGTTTCACCATGTTGACCAGGCTGGTCTTGAACCTCTGACCTCAGGTGATCTGCCTGTCTTGGCCTCCCAAAGTGCTGGGAATATAAGCATGAGCCACCATGCCCAGCCAGAATATTGCTACTTTTGCAAATAGCTACAAATGATCCTGATCTGGACACACTGAGTTGATCATAGCTTTGTAAAAGAGGATAGCATTGTAAAACTACAAAATTAGACTAATAATAAATAACATAGAATGCTTTCACTATAAGAAATAATACTATCCTAAGCAAAAATAAATAAATAAATAAAACTGGAGGAATTATATTTTCTGACTTCATATTATACCACAGAATTACAGCAACCAAAAGAGTATGGTACTGGCATAAAAATAGACCCATAGATCAATGGAACAGAATAGAGAACCCAGTAACAAATGTACAAATGTACCTACAGTGAACTCATTTTTGACAAAGGTGCCAAGAACATACACTGGTGGGAAATGGTATTGAAAAAACTGGATATCCATATGCAGAAGAATGAAAACAGACTAGTATCTATCACCAAATACAAAAGTAAAATCAAAGTTGTTTAAAGATGTAAAGCCAAGACCTCGAACTATAAAACTAGTACAGAAAAACTTTGGGGAACACCTCCAGGACATTGGTCTGGGCAAAAATATCTTGAGCAATACCCCACAAGCACAGGCAACCAAAGCAAAAATGGACAAATGGATCACATTAAGTTAAAAAGCTTCTGCACAGAAAATGATACAATCAACAAAGTTAAGAGACAATCCACAGAATGGGAGAAAATATTTGCAAACTACTCATCTGACAAGGATTAATAATCAGAATATATAGAAAACTCAAACAACTCTTTAGGAAACAATCTAATAACCTAGCTAAAAAAAGGGGGGCAAAAGATTTGAATAGGTATTTCTCAAAAGAAGACCTACAAATGGCAAATAGGTATAAGAAAAGTGCTCAATATCACCGATCATCAGAGAAATTTAAATCAAAACTACAACAAGATATCATCTCACCACAGTTTATATGACTTGTATGCAAAAGACAGGCAATAACAAATGCTAGCAGGGATGCAGAGAAAAGGGAACTCTTGTACACAGCTCCTGGGAATGCAAATTAGTAAAACCACTAAGGTGAACAGTTTGGATGTTTCTCAATAAACTAAAAGTGGAGCTACCATATGATCTAGCAATCTTACTGCTGGGTGTATACCAAAAATAAAGGAAATCAGTATGTCAAATACATATCTGCACTCCCATATTTGTTGCAGCACTGTTTACAACGCTAAGATTTGGAAGAAACCTTAGTGTCCATCAACAGATGAATGGATAAAGAAAATGTGGTACATATACACAACGGACGACTATTCAGCCATAACAAAGAATAAGATCCAGTCATTGTCAGTAACATTGATGGAACATTATGGATCATTATGTTAAGTGAAATAAACCAGGCACAGAAAGACAAATGTCACATGTTCTCACTAATTTGTGGAATCTAAAATCAAAACAAACTCATGGACACAGAGAGTATAAGGATGGTTATCAGAGGCTGGGAAAGGTAGCGGCAGGGGGTGTTGTGGGAAGGTGGGGATGGCTAATGGGTATAAAAATAGAGAGTTAATAAGACCTACTATTTGATAGCACAATAGGGTGACTATATTCAATAATAATTTAATTGTACATTTTGAAATAACTAAGACTGTAATTGAATTTTTTATAACTTGAAGGATAAATGCTTGAGGGGAGGGATACCCTATTCCCCATGATGTGCTTATTTCACATTGCATGCCTGTATCAAAACATCTCATGGACCCCACAGATACATACACATACTATGTACCCACAACATTTTTAAACAATCTAATACAATTTTTTAAATGGCACTTACTTTTTGTTACCTTCAACTATTGTAAAATATATTCTATTATTTATGATTAGCCCTGTTGGAAAACAAATTTTAAAAACACTATTTAAAACCAAATAAATGGACTAGGAGTAACTTGCATAAAAATGACAGAAATTGCTGCTACATCTTCTAATTATTGAGATGGTATTTCTATATTTGTGAAATTATCTGTGATAGAAAGTTGAATTGTTTCCAACATTATTTTTATAATTAAATGTTATATTGCTATTTCTTTAAAAGTAGCCTTTAAAATATTACCAATCTACTTTAAAGTCTACTTGCCAAAATATTAAACTATCCTTAAAAAAAAGTAATTTATTTAATTACCTAACTTCCTCAAAGCAATGTCCTAATTTTCTCAAGCAATTATCTGATTTTCTCAAGCAATTGATATTAGCAAGTTGTGCTAGTTAACTGCTGAGAATCATGGTCTACATATCAGATAAACCATCTGTCAATCCTTTAAAGAAGACTTTATGAGCCTTAGATATGTTAGTCCAATCTGTATCACTGACTTTAAACACTGGATAATTGACACTCCATGTTGCCTGTAAGCCTATTTCACAGCAGCTGAGTGATGTTAATAGGTACTTCTTGGAGTGCCATTTTCCTTGTAACCCTTAGATTAATTCAGATTGACTGAGTTCTGTGTCAGTGGAAATTGCCAGAATTACATCATTGTGCTTTGCATCTAGTTTCACTTTTCCAAAAGCCTACACAGATTTCAGATGTTTAGAAAATAGCTCTTGTTTTCCTTCTGGGTAATCTTTTTCATGTCACCACTCTTGTCAGCATCTGCACTGGGCAAATTTCCTAGGACCTCCCTTCTGCTTCTTTTAAAATACGAAAACAAAATCAATGTAGCGCAGCAAGCCAGGGAAAGTCTGCTTTGATTGACTTACGACCATAGTCACCCAGCAGTTCCTTCAGAGGTGGCTTCCCAAGTCAGACACTGAGTCCACGCGCTGTCCGCCTGCCTGCAGAAGTGGCTCTGAGAGCTGTTTGAGGAGAAAATGGGGGACTTTGGGCTTCAGCCCGAGGAGAACACGGTGGAGATGGAGGAGCCCCTGGGGGTCCGCAGGTTAACTGAAAACATGGGAGGACACAAGCGTGGGACCAAGTCTGTCACTAACCTGTAAAGAACTCTGACCAAGCTGACTGGGCACTCTGTCTGCGCGCCTTTCTTTGCCACCACGTGTGCGGGAATGCCTGGGGCACGACTGGGCCATCTCAGTGTTCTTGTTTCTAGCCATTCCGAGGTTACCCCTCAGCAAAACGCCAGAG
Organism: Homo sapiens; assembly: GCF_000001405.40. Classification (NCBI taxonomy): domain Eukaryota; kingdom Metazoa; phylum Chordata; class Mammalia; order Primates; family Hominidae; genus Homo; species Homo sapiens. The sequence goes on along the minus strand of NC_000022.11, from coordinate 15,750,496 downwards.
GCCGGCAGACACAGTGGAGCATCCTGCAGTAGGGATCCGAAGCCGTGGAATCTCCAAAGGGCCACGACTGCTTCCCAGAAGCTCTAGCCCGTTGCCCGGAAAGCCCAGGTGGTCTTTGGCAAGACCTCCCGGATTGTGGTTTTGATTTGCATTTCTCTGATGACCAGTGATGATGAACATTTTTTCATGTGTCTGTTGGCTGCATAAATGTCTTCTTTTGATAAGTGTCTGTTCATATCCTTCGCCCACTTTTTGATGTGATTGTTTGATTTTTTCTTGTACATTTGTTTAAGTTCTTTGTAGATTCTGGATATTAGCCCTTTGTCAGATGGGTAGATTGCAAAAATTTTCTCCCATTCTGTAAGTTGCCAGTTCACTCTAATGGAAGTTTTTTTTTTTTTTTTTTTTTTTTTGCTGTGCAGAAGCTCTTTAGTTTAATTAGATCCCATTTGTCAATTTTGGCTTTTGTTGCCATTGCTTTTGGTGTTTTAGACATGAAGTCCTTGCCCATGCCTATGTCCTGAGTGGTATTGCCTAGGTTTTCTTCTAGGGTTTTTATGGTTTTAGGTCTAACATTTAAGTCTTTAATCCATCTTGAAAAGTTAATAATAATAATAATAATGAAATATGGAAGAAATAAAAAAAAAAAAGACCTCCCGGAGACCAGGAACTTGGTCGGTGCTTGCGGCCTGAGATCGAGCTCTGGGGCACCTTCCTGTCCTTCTGCTTTTTCCTTGGCCGCCTTAGGGGGCGCGCCTCGCCATGGGTCTCCCTGCGGGCGGCGCGGTGGTGCTCCTGGATGTCACCTCCAGGCGCTTTTGAGACTGCGACCGGCACCGGGCGCCCAGCACCTGCGGATTGGCCTCCCCACGCCTGGCTCAAGGACCTCCAGCACTCCGCAGTGCGGGCTGCAGGCGACCTCAACGTGGAGCTGCTGCCAGCGCCACAGGCCCCAGGGAAGCCCAGGATCTGCTTCCCAGGCCCAAGAAGGGCAGTTTCGGAAAGTCTTTGGCGTGATGGAAGGCGGCGCCCATCTGGGGCGGGGCTGAGAACTAGGCTGGCGCCGCTGCCTGGTAAGCGGGGACCAAGAGGCCCACGGCCTCCATCAGGAACCAGGTGCTTGTCCAAATCCCGGACTTCAAGGAGCAGCAATGGTGTCAAGCTGGCTGACACCAGGAACACCCAGAAGTCCCCGCTCCTGTCCTTCCGCACTCAGGAGTGGGGATGGCCACAGGGACACCATCCGCCCACAAACCACTGGCCTTTGCTGCCATGGTGCGCGGAGATGCGGTTCCCGAGGCCACTTTTGGCCAGGACGCCGGGATCTTATCAGCGGCAGCATCCCGCGCTGACACTCAGTATTGACTTTCCCCAGACATTGCTGGATTTTTTTCCTTTTTAAAACAATTTTGCAGTGGGAGAACAAAAAAGGGCATCCTCAGAGCTTTTACAAAATTCTCCTGGACCTGTGGTTCTATGGTGTTCACCTCTGCGTTTTACTGACCACTAATTGGCCAGAGCTCCTAAGGCCTATAGGGGTCCCCCTGCCCCACCGGGTGCTTTAGACACTCCTGAGGGACATTCATGGCTCAGGAGGATAAAGGTCCTCAGGGGCCTGCTGTGAGGAGGACATGCAGCCCCTCTGCCGCCGCGTCTTCTGCCATTCCAGCCTGGAAAGAGATACCTTGCCCTCCACCCCACAGGCCTTCATGACCTTGGGACCCACTCTTTAGAGGCCACGTGCGTTTCCACTGCCAAAGCAATGACACAGGAGATGGAAAGAAATTCTTGGCCTGGCGCGCTGGCTCACGCCTGTAGTCCCAGCACTTTGGGAGGCCAAGGCGGGCGGATCACGAGGTCAGGAGATCGAGACCATCCTGGCTAGCAAGGTGAAACCCCGTCTCTACTAAGAACACACAAAAAGTTGGTGGGCACCTGTAGTCCCAGCTACTCGGGAGGCTGAGGCGGGAGAGTGGCGTGAACCCGGGAGGCAGAGCTTGCAGTGAGCGGAGATCACGCCACTGCACTCCAGCCTGGGCAACAGAGCGACACTACGTCTCAGAAAATAAAAAAAAAATTTTGCCTTCACTATATGTCCAAGTAATTTCTCGATTAGAGCCCAGAGTCGTGGGGCCCACACCGCCAGCTGACACATGAAAGTGTGGCAACGATGTGGTGGTGTCTGTGTGGCAGTGTGTCCGCATTTCTGTGTGGTGGTGTATCTGTGTGGCAGAGTGTCTGGTGCTATGTCCATGTGGTGGTGTATCTGCATGGTGATGTCTCCGTGTGACAGTGTTTTGTGCATCTGTGTGACAGTGTCTGTGTGTCCTTGTGTCCACATGGCAGTGTGTGTGGTGGTGTGATGGTATGGAGGTGTGTCCATGTGACAGTGTGGCAGTGTGTGTGGCAGTGTCCATATGGCAGTGTGTCGGTGTGTTCATGTGTGTGATGGTGTGTCCATGTGACAGTGTGATGTCTCGTGTCCCTGTGGTAGTGTGACAGTGTGTCCATGTGGTGATGTCTCCGTGTGTCTGTGTCCCTGTGATAGTGTGGTGGTGTGTCAGTGTGATTTCTCCATATGTCTGTGTGTCCGTCCATGTGACTATGCCAGTGTGTTCGTGTGACTGTGTGACGGTGTCTCCATGTGGTAATGTCTCCGTGTGTCTGTACATGTGAGTCTGGTCATGTGTCCACGTGGCGGTGTGTCCATGTAACAATGTGGCGGTGTTCCCTCCCCGGCTTGCGGAGCTAGCATCTTTCTCTCTCAGCCCAGGACGCCTGAAGAGGCCCCAGCTTGAACATAAAGTATTGATATTTTACACATTTGCACATAATTAGAATTTTGAAGCCGTAATTTCAGATAAGGTGTCTAGGACATAACAATATTGATGTAAGAAAGCCATAAGCAATGTTTATTTTCAATCAGATTTACTAAAAAATTTTATTGAACTGGTCAATTTTCTTTGCCAATATTACTGTATTCTTATTTCTAGTAATAGAAGTGTGAAAAAGCATCAAGGAAACTTAAATTGCATTCTCATACTGACTGCATACAATAATTCTGAAAACAGCGGAAGTTATATATATCCCCCATAAGTAAAACATGAGTAACACAACAAATGAAAAACGAATAGGAGACAATTCAAATAATGGCGACCTGTTATTCTCATCTAGTTAAGTACTATTATTTTCTAACAGGAATTTGCTATTTCAAATATATTATCTGAGATGTCTATATATTTATATTTTGAGATACTATACAAATTTGAGCCAATGACATAGAATTTTACAAATCAAGAAGCTTATTCTGGGGCCATTTCTTTTGACGTTTTCTCTAAACTACTAAAGAGGCATTAATGATACATAAATTACATTATCTACATTTACAGCATTTAAAATGTGTTCAGCATGAAATATTAGCTACAGGGGAAGCTAAATAAATTAAACATGGAATAAAGATTTGTCCTTAAATATAATCTACAAGAAGACTTTGATATTTGTTTTTCACAAGTGAAGCATTCTTATAAAGTGTCATAACCCTTTTGGGGAAACTATGGGAAAAAATGGAGAAACTCTGAAGGGTTTTAAGTATCTTACCTGAAGCTACAGACTCCATAACCTCTCTTTACAGGGAGCTCCTGCAGCCCCTACAGAAATGAGTGGCTGAGATTCTTGATTGCATAGCAGAGCTTCTCATCTAAACCCTTTCCCTTTTTAGTGTCTGTGTATCAGTATAAAAGTTCTATAAACTGTAGTTACTTATTTTAATCCCAAAGCACAGTAACAATATACTTCATCCTAGGGTTGGCAGTTTCTCTGAGTGTTTTGTTTAATTATCATTATTATATCTGCAGGATTCCAAAGCGCCTAAAAAGTAAAATATTTTAAAAAGGGGAAAGAGAGAAAGAGGAAGAAAATAAAATTAATAGCCCATTCCGTCACTGTTATTACACACCACAATACCTTTTTGTTAATCTAATTAAAATTAGTGACATCATTTAACATTTATGTCTTCAACAAAAGTTTGGAATCCTGAAAAAGCCATTTAATTTGCTAATAAATATATTTGAATTGAATTGAAATCCTTAAGTATTACTTTAAATAAAGAACACAAGATGAATTATGATGTAGAAAATTCTATCCCTCATTGTCCAAAATCTAATAGTTAAATTGAACTTGTTAAATAATATTTTTGTCCAGGCGTGAGGCTTACACCTGGAATCCCAATAGTTTGGGAGGCAAAGGCAGGTGGATTGCTTGAGCTGAGGAGTTGCAGACCAGGCTCGGCAACATGGTGAAACCCAATCTTTACCAAAAAAAAAAAAAAAAAAAAAAAAATTAGCCAGGCATAGTGGCTTGCCTGTAGTCCCAGCTACTCAGGAGGATGAGACGGGAGGATCACCTGAGCCTGGGGAAGCTGGGGCTGCAGTAAGCCATGATTGTGCCACTGTACTCCAGCTTGGACAACAGACTGAGACCCTGTCTCGAAAGAAGGAAGGAAGGAAGGAAGGAAGGAAGGAAGGAAGGAAGGAGAAAGAAAGAAAGAAAGAAAAGGAAAGAAAGAGAAAGAAAAAGAAAGAAAAAGAAAGAGAAAGAAAGAAAGAAAGAAGAAAGAAAGAAAGAAAGAAAGAAAGAAAGAAAGAAAGAAAGAAAGAAAGGCAGGCAGGTGAGAGAGCGAGGAAGGAAGGAAGGAAGCAAAGAAGGAAAGAAGGAAGGGAGGAAGAAAAATAATGGTTTTGGTGCCAATAATCTTTGTGGAATTTTGCTTTAATGAAATAGATTTAACTAAGTAGTGACATGATCTGCTTAAGTGTATTGACCCTAGCAATCAGAGGCATCTGAATCCCCACAATGACTTGACACTTACATTTGACAAACATTGATTCTCCTATCATACCTAAGGCATAGTCGGAATTTCAGAATTCCAACTTTCCCTATGCTATTTGAGCACATTGCTTAACATCTCTAAGACTCGATATTTTTACTCTTAAGATACTACTAATAATAGTACATAGTTTATATGATATAATGTGTATCAAAAGCATTATACTTTCAGGCAGACAGCAATTTCTCAATAAATATTTGCTAATGTTTTAGTACAAACAGGAGAATTGGATTATGATACTTATGACACTGTTGATCCTCCTTCTAGAAACATTTGTTTCTAAAACTTGTTTTCAAGTTAGAGCACTATTTTGTGTTCAAATTGAAAATACTGTATGTTCAGATTTTTTAAAAAACAGTATTGCATTAATGTTTTAATAAAAATATTCCTAAATGAGCTTGAGCAAGGAGGATGGGGAGATAAGTAAAATAAGGCTTTGTGGCATAGGAGACATTTGGTGGAAATCTTTCAGCTCAACTAAGATTTGAAAAAAAAAAAGAGAATTTTTATAAAAAATGTAAAGGCAGGATTTACCCTGATGAGCTTGTGGAGAAAATACAAAGTCTAACGTAATTCAAAAGAGACTAATCAGTCAAAGTAGTTTTGAAGGAAATATCTTGAAGAGAGAGAACATAAAATGAAGATCAGGTATGTAATTATTTTAATAATCTATCCATGAGATAAAAAGCATTGGGATTTTTTTTATTTGTCAAAAAGGGACAATAGTTTTAAGAACCATTCTTTGTTCAGCCTAAAGAGGATTTTACATTTTGAGCCAGTGACATATTGTGCTAAGTAGGATAATATCCTAATTTGTGTCTATATCAACAATTTTGTTCTCAATAAAAACACTTTATTCACACAACTGATGATCATCTGCATTTGATTTAGTGCTGAACTGTCAAAGGGGGGCTAATAAAAACAAAATATTAGAGTTGCAAGTGGCATAAGTGGAAAATAATGATCATACTCATCACTACTGAAATAATAAAACAAAGCAAAAAATAAATAAGAAAAAAATTGACTACATGAACATTTGCTTCTCTCCTAAGAATCAAAACCCTTCGTTTTCTGTGGCAAAAAAGCATCTGGGTCCATGAACCCACGCAAAAGTCTACTGTTTCTGGGAGATAAGAAGCAGCAAAACACATCAGCTTTCCGAGAAGGTTAAGAAACCTCTCATAGCCTACCCTATCCCACCTGAGACCAGGCAAAGGATCACTGCTTCTGGGGGAGGGATGCAAGAAAAATACTTCTCCATCAGGAGAGGAACAAGGATTGTTTTGGGGCCCAGGATTTTGCACTAATGCAGAGTTGTGCTACTGTGGTAAAGGGTTGGAAAATCTCCATCCAGTGACACAGACAAAGGTGCATTGTTCCTATGGAAGAAGAAATAAAATAGTATGTCCTTAGTGTGGGGTTGAAAACTTGCAATGATATAAATCAAAGGTTTTCTACCACTGAGGTGGGAGGAGGGCAAGGTATCATTTCTTCCTCAAAAAACAACACAGATATGAGACAGTTTGATTCCCACTAGAATAAGAGTCAGGAAGTGCTAAAAATACCCCTTCTCTGAGTGTCCAATGATGAAACTGGCTCAAAAATAACATGAATCATCCCTCTGCCCCCAACCTGAATTTTCTGCCTAGTCACACACACACACACACACACACACACACACACACACACACACAACATGATGTTCTACAGTTAGAGAGGAACAAGAAAGTGGAGAGAGACCCTCCTATGACATATGTGGTAAGGACTATGGAAAGATAACTGGAACAGGAGCACTGGAATATGCCCTCCAGAGCCTAAGGCCCCACACAAGGCACATGATATAGCAGCCTGCTGCTGGAGAAATCTGAGTTACGTGGTTCACTGAATGTTTCAGACACCGTGGCAAAAACCAACCTTTGTTCCTGCCCACACTAATAGCATGACACAAACCAAAATGAAACATAAATATAAAACAATCTCAACATAAACAATTATCTCATGATCTACTGATTTTCTACATCTGATGATTTGCATTTTTTAGAAACTGGGAGACACATAAAACCAAGTTAGAAATTTGGGTTATGAGTTATAATATTTTCAAAAGATAAAAAGTCAACAGAATCAAATTCAGAGATAATTCAGATGTTGGAACTAAATGCAACTAATTTAAAATAATAATGATCAAAATGTTAAAGAATCTACTTAAAAAAAGACAACATGCATGGAAAAATGAGGAATTTCAGCAGAGATGGGAACAGTAAAAGGCAAAAGCTAGAAATAAGTGAAAGCATGAGAACAGAAATGAAGAATTACAACAGCAAGCTGATTAGCAGACTGGTCATCAGAGCTAAAGAAAGAAGCAGTAAATTTTATGCTAGGTCAATACAAATTATTTGAATGGTAGCACAAAGGGAGGAAAGAGAAAAACAAAATAAACCAATGAGCCAAGCAAATAAAATACTCCAGTGAATCCAAGAATTCTCTGGTAACATGAAATTAAGTAAAATACAATTAATTGGAATTCCAGGAGAGTAAAAACAGAATGTAAGGGAAGAAAAATTTGAAAAAGATGACTAAGGAGACCAAATAAACTCAAAAAGATCCAAGAAAGATAAATACAAAATTTAAAGAACGCTAGAATAATCACACTAGTCAAACTGCTGAAAACCAACGATTAGCAAAAATCTTGAATTCAGTCACAGAAAAATAGGAACACTGTGTAGAGAGATAAACAGAAATAGCCATTACAGTGAACTGCGTGTCAGCAACTCTACAAGTCAGAAACCAATGATACAAAATTTTTAAATAACTTAAAAAAAGTCAACCCCCAATCTTACATCCATTAACTATATAGTGAAAATAACAATGAAATGAAGACATTTTCAGATTAACACTGCAAGAGTCCCTTGCTAACAGGTCTGCACTAAAATAAATGTCAAAATCATTTCTTGAGGCAAAAGGAATATGGAAGCAGATGAAAGTTGAAACTACACAAAGAAATAAAGAGTGCCAGAGAAGATATAAAGATATATAGCCCAATTATTTTACATTGCTCTAAAGATAATTGTCTTATTTTTTTAAAAAAAGAGTAACTTTATATTATGGAATTCATAATATTTGAGACTATAATGCATGACATAAATAGTATAAAGGAGAGAGAAAACAAAAATATACATTTTAAGGTTTTTATACCATAGTTGGTATAATACAAATTATAGGTTACTATAATAAGCTAGAATAGGTATTGAAATCTCTAGAGAAACAATGAATATTTTCAAAAGATGGTATGTGCATTAATATTTTCATACAACTTCCAGCTTTTGTTTTTCTTCATTTAATTTTATTTATTTATTTATTTTTGAGATGGAGTCTCGCCCTGTGGCCCAGGCTGGAGTGCAATGACCTGATCTCAGCTCACTGCAACCTCCACCTCCCAGGTTCCAATGATTCTCCTGCCTCAGCCTCCCAGATAGCTGGGATTACAGGTGCCCACCACCATGCCTAGTTAATTTTTGTATTTTTAGTGGACATGGGGTTTCACCACGTTGGCCTGGCTTGTTTCAAACTCCTGACCTCGTGATCGGCCCACCTCAGCTTCCCAAAGTGCTGGGATTACAGACTTGAGACACTGTGCTAGGCCCCAGCTTTTATTTTTTAAGGTAGTTGTTGTGTTATTACATGTGAAATAAGGTTATTCTTGAATATCCATGTTTTGAGAATAATGACAAATTAATTTATCTCAACCTAAATAACATTTTATTATTGAATATTTAAATATTTTTATTATTTTTACTTTGTAACAGAAGTCATTCTAACTGGTGTGAGATGGTATCTAATTGATGTTTTGCTTTGCATTCTCTAATGATTAGTGATGGTATGCATGTGTTAATATGTTTGTTGGCCACGTATGTGTTCTTTTGAAAACTGTCTGTTCATGTTCTTTGCCCATTTTTTAATGGGGTTATTTTTTGCTTCTTGATTTGTCTAAGTCTCTTATAGATTCTGGATAATAGGCCTTTGCTGTATGCATAGTGTGTGAATATTTTCTTCCACTCTGTAGGCTGTCTGTTCAATCCCCCTTGAGAGTTTCTCATGCTGTGCAGAAGCAGCTCTTTAGTTTAATTAAATCACACTTCTCAATTTTCGTTTTTCTGGCAATTGCTTTTGAGGACTTACCCATAAATTCATTGCCAAGTGCAATGTCCAGACGAATATTTCCTAGGTTTTCTTCCAGGATTTTTATAGTCAGAGGATGTAATCTTATGCCAACGGGTCTTAATAATCAAATGACTCCACAGTGAGAATCATTACTCTGAAAAATTGATTTTGTTAGAATGATGGAAATTTAAATATTTGAAAGTAAAAACACATGCCACCTTTTTCCTAGAACTCTGCAAGGCAAATTGCTGTAAGACAGGCAGAGGAAGCACAATATATATACATATCCAAAATATAATTTGCAGTGAAATAAATGAAAGCAAATTATAAATAAACTTACCTGATTTTACAAACTAACCTTTAAAGGGATTTCTACTAATTTTTCTATTGCCTGCATTGCCCTTTCTTCTAGATCCAATTTATATTTTTGTACTTCACCAATGTGTCTCCACCATTGTGTAGTTTCCATATGTTTTTTAAGATTTAATATTACTTTTTCCAACATCTTTTTATCCTCAAGTTTTTTATATTCCTGTTGTATTTTTTTATAGATAATAACTCCTGTTGAATAACTTTTTAGTCAAATAGACATATTTTGAAGATACAGCTTTCAGCTTTGCTGTAAGATCATCGAACTACATTAATAAAATAATATAGCTTGATAATGAAGTAGGCTGAGAATAATCTCATACAAAACCAATAACAAATTTTGAAATACATTTACTTGCAATAAAATGTTATCTATAATGTAGATTCTTTAAATGTTAACCCGTACTCAGAAATTCAAGAACAAAGTAAAAGCCACCATGAGTCACAAACATATATTCTTTACTCTCATCATCTTTGCCACAGAACTTTTGCACTTGATCTTACTGTTGTTTTTCTGATAATTTGTGTTTTTTCCTTTCTTAAATGGCTCTAAGTTAACTCTTATTAGAAAGTTTCAAACCCCCTTCTCTCATCATCATGCCCCAAAATTTGTCAAAAAAAAGTTTCAGAGATATTATATTGAGTTATTTAGGCCAAAGGCAATAAATGGCTCTTACAATAAGACTTTGAAAATAATGTAATACTCTACAATAGGCATGGTGTATCATGCATATAATCCTAGCACTTTAGGAGGCTGTGGCAGAAAGATCCCTTGAGGTCAAACATTTGAGATCAGCCAGAGCAACATAGTGATACCATAATCTCGACAAAAAAAAAAAAAAAAAAAAAAAACGTGAAAAAATTAGCCACGCATGATGCCTTATGCTTGTAGATCCAACTGGTTGGGAGATTAAGGCAAAAGGATGGCTTGGACTCAAGAGTTCAGGGCTGTGGTGAATTATGATCAAACCACGGCACTTCTGCCTCGATAACAAAGACCATATCTCAAAAAAACACAAAATAATCCTATAAATAAGGATTCTAATGCCACAAGCCTTTCCATAGGCTGTAAATGTTTTATGCTAATTTGAATTGCATTTTAAAAAGTAATGATTCTTGGGGTAAAGGCCATAGAATACAGTCCCAAGAAATAAATCCACATATTTACCTTACAAGAAATAAATCCACATTCTTGTGTTACAAGAGCTCCTGAAGGAGACACTAAACGTAGAAAGGAAAAACCAGTACCAGCCACTACAAAAACATATCGAATTGTAAAGACCATTGACACTATAAAGAAACTGCAAACTAATGGGAAAAATAAAAAGCTAGCAACATCATGACAGGATAAATTTCACATGTAACAATACTAAACTTAAATGTAAATGGGCTAAATGCCCCAGTTAAAAGACACAGACTGGCAAGTTGGATAAAGAGTAAAGACCCATTGTTGTCCTGTATTCAGGAGACCCATCTCATGTGCAAAGACACACATAGGCTTAAAATAAAGGGATGGAGGTATATTTACCAAGCAAATGGAAAGCAAAAAAGAGCAGGGTTTGCAATCCTAGTCTCTGATAAAACAGACATTAACTGAAAAAGATCAAGAGAGACAAAGAACAGCACTACAAAGCAGTGCCATCTGCTTTTCCTCAGGCCTCTGCTCCATCAGCCATCAGGTGGCAGCCACTCAGGATGTTGGAACCTGGCCATCCCTGCTTCTTTCAGTGGGTGAGGTTGGTGGCTGCTCCACCTGTTCCAGGCACACCCTTAACAGAGGTGGCTGCTTGCTCTTTAAGCCAGCTTGGCCTTGCCTGGCATGCACAGGCCCCGGGGACCGACATGCTGCTCTGACTGAGACCGTCCTGACTTTGTCAAATTCTACGTCTGGCCTGGGCCACAGAAGCACAAGTCCCCTGGGTGGTACCACTGGCTGCTTTCTGGACTGGAACATAAAGTCCTCCTCAAGATGACCTGTGGTCTGCCTCTTGGCAACCAACAAGCCCGCAGTGTCATACGACCCATGAGACATGGACTGAAGGCCCAAAGGGAGTGCACACCATGCTCCAGAGCCAGCTGCTCCTTTCCTCTATATGGCCCCATTTGCAGCACAGTTGTTGCACTGAGGCTTGTGCATGCTGGGCAAGGGCAAGCTGGCTCAAAGGGCAACCAGCTATCTTTGCACGGATGTGCCAGCAGCAGGCAGACCAGCCATCAACCTCACACGCTGCCAGTCAGGCTAAATCAGCTCTTCTACCATAAAGGTAGGGCCACAGTGCCATCTGGTTTTCCTAAGGCCTCTGTTTCTTCAGCCATTAGGTGGCACCCACTCAGGCTTTGGGAACCTGGCTACCCCGGCTTCCTGGAGTGGGTGAGCTGGTGGCTGCTCCACCTGCTCTAGGTGCACCCTTGCAGAGGTGGCTGGTTGCTCTTTGAGCCAGCTTGGCCTTGCCTGGCATGCACAGACCCCAGCTACGGACACGCTACTCCAAGTGAGCTTGTCCTGTCTACGGCCAAATTCTAAGTTTGGCCAGGGCCACAGAAGGCAGAGTCCCGAGGGTGGTAATCCTGGCTGCTTTCTGCACTTGAACATAAAGTCCTTCTCAAGATGGCCTATGGTCTGCCTCTTGGCAACCAAGAAGCCCACAGTGACATAAGACCCTTGAGGCAAGGACTGGAGCCCCCAAAGGCAGCATACACCTTGCTCCTGAGATGGCTGCTCGTTTCCCCTATATGGCTCCATTTGTAGCACAGTAGTAGCACTGAGGCTTGTGCATGCTGGGCAAGGCTAAGAGGGCTCAAAGAGCAACCAGTCACCTCTGCGAGGGTGTGCCAGGAGCTGGGGGCACAGCCACCAACCTCACTCGCTGCAGGACATGGAACATCAGTTCTTCTAACAAAAAGGTAGGGCCAAGGGCCATCTGCTTTTCCTAAGGCCTTTGCTATATCAGCCATCAGGTGGCAGCCACTCAGGCTGTGGGAACATGGCCATCCACTTCCTTGACTGGGTAAGGTTGGTGGCTGGTCCACCTCCTCCAGACGCACCCCTGCAGAGGTGGCTGGTTGCTCATTGAGCCAGTTTGGCCTTGTCTGGCACGCACAGATTTGAGGTACTAACACGCTGCTCTGAGTGAGCTTGTCCTGCCTTGGCACAAATTCTATGTCTGGCCAGGGCCACAGAAGACCAAGTCCCCTGGATGGTGATCCTGGCTGCTTTCTGCAGTGGAACATAAACTCCTTCTCAAGATGGCCTGTGGTTGGCCTCTTGGCAACCAAGAATCGTGCAGTGGCATAGGAGCCCTGAGGCATGGATTGGAGAGCCGAAGGCAGCGCATACCCTGCTCCTGAGCCTGCTGCTTGTTTCCTCTCTGTGGCTCCATTTGTAGCACAGTTGTTGCACTGAAGCTTGTACATGCCCGGCAAGGCCAAGCTGGCTCAAAGAGCAACCAGCCACCTCTGCAAGGAAGAACAGGTGCACCAGTTACCAACTACAGGTCGGAGATGGTACATCAGTTCTTCAACCCTAGAGTTGGGCCACAGTGCCATCTGCTTTTCCTAAGGCCACTGCTCCATCAGGAATTAGGTGGCAGCCAAGGCAGGACAAACACACTCGGAGCAGTGTGTTAGTACCTGGGGCCTGTGCATGCCAGGGAGGCCAAGCTGGCTCAAAGAGCAACCAGACACCTCTGCAAGGTTTGGCCAGGGCTATAGAAGGTCCCCCTGGATGGTAATCCTGGCTGCTTTCTGCACTTGAATATAAAGTCCTCCCCAAGATGGCCTGTGGTCTGCCTCTTGGCAACCAAGAAGCCCGCAGTGCCATGTGACACCTGAGGCATGGACTGGAGCCCCAAAGGCAGGGTACACCCTTCTCCTGAACCTGCTTCTTGTTTCCTCTATATGGCTCCATTTGTGGCAAAGTTGTTGCACTGAAGCTTGTGCATGCCGGGCAAGGACAAGCTGGCTCAAAGAGCAACCAGCCACCTCTGCAAAGGTGTAGCAGGAGCCGGTGTACCAGTCACCAATTAGCGTCCGGACATGTGCATCACTTCTTCCACCCTAAAGGTAGGGCCACAGTGCCATCTGCTTTTCTTAAGGCCTCTGCTCCATCAGCAATAAGGTGGCAGACACTCAGGCTGTGGGAACCTGGCCATCCCCACTTCCTCGAGCGGGTGAGGTGGTGGATGCTCCGCCTGCACTAGGCGCACCCTTGCAGAGGTGGCTGGTTGCTCTTTGAGCCAGCTTGGCCTTGCCTGGCATGCATAGGCCCCAGCTACTGACACGCTGCTCCGAGTGAGCTTGTCCTGCCTTGGCACAAATTTTAAGTCTCGCCAGGGCCACAGAAGGCTTAGTCCCATGGATGGTAATTTTGGCTGCTTTCTGCACTTGAACGTAAAGTCCTCCTCAAGAAGGCCTGTGGTCCGCCTCTTGGCAACCAAGAAGCCTGCAGTACCATACGACCCGAGGCATGGACTGGAGCCCCAAAGGCAGCGCACACCCTGCTCCTGAGCCTGCTGCTTGTTTCCTCTCTGTGTCTCCATTTGTAGGACAGTTGTTGCACTGAGGCTTGTGCATGCCAGGCAAGGCCAAGCTGGCTCAAAGAGCAACCACCCACCTCTGCAAGGGTATGCCAGGAGCAGGTGCACCAGTCACCAACTAGCGGCCGGACATGGTACATCTTCTTCTACCCTAAAGTTGGGCTACAGCGCCATTTGCTTTTCCTAAGGCCGCTGCTCCATCAGCAGTTAGGTGGCAGCCAAGGCAGGACAAGCTCACTCAGAGCAGCGTGTTAGTACCTGGGGCCTGTGCATGCCAGGGAGGCCGAGCTCGCTCAAAGAGCACCCAGCCACCTCTGCAAGGTCTGGCCAGGGCTACAGAAGGCCCCCCTGGATGGTAATCCTGGCTGCTTTCTGCACTTGAACATAAAGTCCTCCTCAAGATGGCCTGTGGTCTGCCTCTAGGCAACCAAGAAGCCCGCAGTGCTATCCGACCCCTGAGGCATGGACTAGAGCCCCAAAGGCAATGCACAACCTGCTCCTGAGCCTGCTGCTCGTTTCCTCTCTGTGGCTACATTTGTAGCAGAGTAGTTGCACTGAGCTTTGCGCATGCTGGGCAAGGCCAGGCTGGCTCAAAGAGCAACCAGCCACCTCTGCAAGGCTGGGCCAGGAGAAGGTGGACCAGTCACCAACCTCACTTGCTTCAGGACATGGTACATCCGTTCTTCTACTCTAAAGGTAGGTCCAAGAGGCAGACCACAGGCCATCTTGAGGAGGACTTTATGTTCAAGTGCAGAAAGCAGCCAGGATTGCCACCCTGGGAACTCGGCCTGCTGTGGTCCGCAGTGCCATACGAGCTCTGAGGCATGGACTGGTGCCATGTGCTTTATAGAAAAATTAACTTAAGATCCATTAAAGAGCTAAATGTGCCATCTGATTTTCCTCAGGCCTCTGCTCCATCAGCTATCAGGTGGCAGCCACTCAGGCTGTTGCAACCTGGCCATCCCTGCTTCCTTGAGTAGGTGAGCTTGGTGGCTGGTCCAACTGGTCCAGGCCCACCCTTGCACAGGTGGCTGGTGGCTCTTTGAGCCAGCTTGGGCTTCCCTGGCATGCACACGCCTCAGGTAATAACACGCTGCTCCCAGTGAGTTTGTCCTGCCTTGGCACAAATTCTAAGTCTGGCCAGGGCCACAGAAGGCCGAGTGCCCTGGGTGGCAATCCTGGCTGCTTTCTACACCTGAACGTAAAGTCCTCCTCAAGAGGACCTGTGATCTACCTCGTGGCAACCAAGAAGCCCACAGTGACATATGATGCCTGAGGCATGGACTGGAGCCCCAAAGGCAGTGCACACCCTGCTCCTGAGCCTGCTGCTCGTTTCTCTATGGCTCCATTTGTAGCACAGTTGTTGCACTGAAGCTTGGGCATGCCGGCCAAGGCCAAGCTGGCTCAAAAAGCAACCAGTCACCTCTGCAAGGGTGTGCCAGGAGCAAGGGCACGAGCTACCAACTAGCAGCCGGACATGTACATCACTTCTTCTACCCTAAAGGTAGGGCCACAGTGCCATCTGCTTTTCCTAAGGCCTCTGTTCCATCAGCAATTAGGTGGCAGCCAATCAAGCCGTGGGAAGCTGGCCATCCCCACTTCCTTGTGTGGCTGAGGTGCTGGATGCTCTGCCTGCTCTAGGCGCACCCTTGCAGAGGTGGCTGGTTGCTCTTTGAGCCAGCTCGGCCTTGCCTGGCATGCATAGGCCCCAGTGACTGACACGCTGCTCCGAGTGAGCTTGTCCTGCCTTGGCACAAATTCTATGTCTGGCCAGGGCCACAGAAGGCCGAGTCCCCTGGATGGTAATCCTGGCTGCTTTCTGTACTTGAACGTAAAGTCCTCATCAAGACGGCCTGTGGTCTGCCTCTTGGCAACCAAGAAGCCTGCAGTGCCATACGACCCCTGAGGCATGGACTGGAGCCCCAAAGGCAGCGCACCCCTGGTTCCTGAGCCTGCTGCTTGTTTCCTCTCTGTGGCTCCATTTGTAGCACAGTTGTTGCACTGAAGCTTGTGCATGCTGGATAAGGCCAAGCGGGCTCAAAGAGCAACCAGCCACCTCTGCAAGGGTGTGCCAGGAGCAGGTGCACCAGTCACCAACTAATGGCCAGACATGGTACATCACTTCTACCCTAAAGGTGGGCCACAGTGCCATCTGCTTTTCCTAAGGCCTCTGCTCCATCAGGAATTAGGTGGCAGCCAAGGCAGGACAAGCACACTCGGAGCAGTGTGTTAGCACCTGGGGCCTGTGCATGCCAGGGAGGCCAAGCTGGCTCAAAGAGCAACCAGACACCTCTGCAAGGTCTGGCCAGGGCTATAGAAGGTCCCCCTGGATGGTAATCCTGGCTGCTTTCTGCACTTGAATATAAAGTCCTCCCCAAGATGGCCTGTGGTCTGCCTCTTGGCAACCAAGAAGCCCGCAGTGCCATGTGACACCTGAGGCATGGACTGGAGCCCCAAAGGCAGGGTACACCCTTCTCCTGAACCTGCTTCTTGTTTCCTCTATATGGCTCCATTTGTGGCAAAGTTGTTGCACTGAAACTTGTGCATGCCGGGCAAGGACAAGCTGGCTCAAAGAGCAACCAGCCACCTCTGCAAAGGTGTAGCAGGAGCCGGTGTACCAGTCACCAATTAGCGTCCTACCCTAAAGGTAGGGCCACAGTGCCATCTGCTTTTCTTAAGGCCTCTGCTCCATCAGCAATAAGGTGGCAGACACTCAGGCTGTGGGAACCTGGCCATCCCCACTTCCTCGAGCGGGTGAGGTGGTGGATGCTCCGCCTGCACTAGGCGCACCCTTGCAGAGGTGGCTGGTTGCTCTTTGAGCCAGCTTGGCCTTGCCTGGCATGCACAGGCCCCAGCTACTGACACGCTGCTCCGAGTGAGCTTGTCCTGCCTTGGCACAAATTTTAAGTCTCGCCAGGGCCACAGAAGGCTCAGTCCCATGGATGGTAATTTTGGCTGCTTTCTGCACTTGAATGTAAAGTCCTCCTCAAGAAGGCCTGTGGTCTGCCTCTTGGCAACCAAGAAGCCTGCAGTACCGTACGACCCGAGGCATGGACTGGAGCCCCAAAGGCAGTGCACACCCTGCTCCTGAGCCTGCTGCTCGTTTCTATATGGCTCCATTTGTAGCACAGTTGTTGCACTGAAGCTTGGGCATGCTGGCCAAGGCCAAGCTGGCTCAAAAAGCAACCAGTCACCTCTGCAAGGGTGTGCCAGGAGCAAGGGCACGAGCTACCAACTAGCAGCCGGACATGTACATCACTTCTTCTACCCTAAAGGTAGGGCCACAGTGCCATCTGCTTTTCCTAAAGCCTCTGTTCCATCAGCAATTAGGTGGCAGCCAATCAAGCTGTGGGAAGCTGGCCATCCCCACTTCCTTGTGTAGCTGAGGTGCTGGATGCTCTGCCTGCTCTAGGCGCACCCTTGCAGAGGTGGCTGGTTGCTCTTTGAGCCAGCTCGGCCTTGCCTGGCATGCATAGGCCCCAGCGACTGACACGCTGCTCCGAGTGAGCTTGTCCTGCCTTGGCACAAATTCTATGTCTGGCCAGGGCCACAGAAGGCCGAGTCCCCTGGATGGTAATCCTGGCTGCTTTCTGTACTTGAACGTAAAGTCCTCATCAAGACGGCCTGTGGTCTTCCTCTTGGCAACCAAGAAGCCTGCAGTGCCATACGACCCCTGAGGCATGGACTGGAGCCCCAAAGGCAGCGCACACCTGGTTTCTGAGCCTGCTGCTTGTTTCCTCTCTGTGGCTCCATTTGTAGCACAGTTGTTGCACTGAAGCTTGTGCATGCTGGGCAAGGCCAAGCTGGCTCAAAGAGCAACCAGCCACCTCTGCAAGGGTGTGCCAGGAGCAGGTGTACCAGTCACCAACTAACGGCCAGACATGGTACATCACTTCTACCCTAAAGGTGGGCCACAGTGCCATCTGCTTTTCCTAAGGCCACTGCTCCATCAGGAATTAGGTGGCAGCCAAGGCAGGACAAGCACACTCGGAGCAGTGTGTTAGTACCTGGGGCCTGTGCATGCCAGGGAGGCCAAGCTGGCTCAAAGAGCAACCAGACACCTCTGCAAGGTCTGGCCAGGGCTATAGAAGGTCCCCCTGGATGGTAATCCTGGCTGCTTTCTGCACTTGAATATAAAGTCCTCCCCAAGATGGCCTGTGGTCTGCCTCTTGGCAACCAAGAAGCCTGCAGTGCCATGTGACACCTGAGGCATGGACTGGAGCCCCAAAGGCAGGGTACACCCTTCTCCTGAACCTGCTTTTTCTTTCCTCTATATGGCTCCATTTGTGGCAAAGTTGTTGCACTGAAACTTGTGCATGCCGGGCAAGGACAAGCTGGCTCAAAGAGCAACCAGCCACCTCTGCAAAGGTGTACCAGGAGCCGGTGTACCAGTCACCAATTAGCGTCCGGACATGTACATCACTTTTTCCACCCTAAAGGTAGGGCCACAGTGCCATCTGCTTTTCTTAAGGCCTCTGCTCCATCAGCAATAAGGTGGCAGACACTCAGGCTGTGGGAACCTGGCCATCCCCACTTCCTCGAGCGGGTGAGGTGGTGGATGCTCCGCCTGCACTAGGCGCACCCTTGCAGAGGTGGCTGGTTGCTCTTTGAGCCAGCTTGGCCTTGCCTGGCATGCATAGGCCCCAGCTACTGACACGCTGCTCCGAGTGAGCTTGTCCTGCCTTGGCACAAATTTTAAGTCTCGCCAGGGCCACAGAAGGCTCAGTCCCATGGATGGTAATTTTGGCTGCTTTCTGCACTTGAACGTAAAGTCCTCCTCAAGAAGGCCTGTGGTCCGCCTCTTGGCAACCAAGAAGCCTGCAGTACCATACGATCCGAGGCATGGACTGGAGCCCCAAAGGCAGTGCACACCCTGCTCCTGAGCTTGCTGCTTGTTTCCTCTCTGTGGCTCCATTTGTAGGACAGTTGTTGCACTGAAGCTTGTGCATGCCGGGCAAGGCCAAGCTGGCTCAAACAGCAACCACCCACCTCTGCAAGGGTATGCCTGGAGCAGGTGCACCAGTCACCATCTAGCGGCCGGACATGGTACATCACTTCTTCTACCCTAAAGGTGGGCTACAGCACCATCTGCTTTTCCTAAGGCCACTGCTCCATCAGCAGTTAGGTGGCAGCCAAGGCAGGACAAGCTCACTCAGAGCAGCGTGTTAGTACCTGGGGCCTGTGCATGCCAGGGAGGCCGAGCTCGCTCAAAGAGCAACCAGCCACCTCTGCAAGGTCTGGCCAGGGCTACAGAAGGCCCCCCTGGATGGTAATCCTGGCTGCGTTCTGCACCTGAACATAAAGTCCTCCTCAAGATGGCCTGTGGTCTGCCTCTAGGCAACCAAGAAGCCCGCAGTGCTACACGACCCCTGAGGCATGGACTAGAGCCCCAAAGGCAATGCACAACCTGCTCCTGAGCCTGCTGCTCGTTTCCTCTCTGTGGCTACATTTGTAGCAGAGTAGTTGCACTGAGCTGTGTGCACGCCAGGCAAAGCCAGGCTGGCTCAAAGAGCAACCAGCCACCTCTGCAAGGCTGGGCCAGGAGCAGGCGGACCAGCCACCAACCTCACTCCCTGCCAGACATGGTACATCCTTTCCTCTACTCTAAATGTAGGGCCAAGAGGCAGACCACAGGCCGTCTTGAGGAGGACTTTATGTTCAAGTGCAGAAAGCAGGCAGGATTGCCACCCAGGGGACTCGGCCTGCTGTGGTCCGCAGTGCCGTACGAACTCTGAGGCATGGACTGGTGCCATGTGCTTTATAGAAAAATTAACTTAAGATCCATTAAAGAGTTAAACGTGCCATCTGATTTACCTCAGGCCTCTGCTCCATCAGCCATCAGGTGGCAGCCACTCAGGCTGTTGTAATCTCGCCATCCCTGCTTCCTTGAGTGGGTGAGCTTGGTGGCTGGTCCAACTGGTCCAGGCACACCCTTGCACAGGTGGCTGGTGGCTCTTTGAGCCAGCTTGGCCTTGCCTGCCATGCACAGGCCCCAGGTACTAACACGCTGGTCCAAGTGAGTTTGTCCTGCCTTGGAACAAATTCTAAGTCCGGACAGGGCCACAGAAGGCCGAGTGCCCTGGGTGGCAATCCTGGCTGCTTTCTACACTTGAACATAAAGTCCTCCTCTAGACAGCCTGTGGTCTGCCTCTTGGCAACCAAGAAGCCCACAGTGCCATATGACGCCTGAGGCATGGACTGGAGCCCCAAAGGCAGTGCACACCCTGCTCCTGAGCCTGCTGCTCGTTTTTATATGGCGCCATTTGTAGCACAGTTGTTGCACTGAAGCTTGGGCATGCCGGCCAAGGCCAAGTTGCCTCAAAGAGCAACCAGCCGCCTCTGCAAGGGTGTGCCTTGAGCAGGTGCACCAGTCACCAACTAGCAGCCAGACATGTGCTTCACTTCTTCTACCCTAAAGGTAGGGCCACAGTGCCATCTGCTTTTCCTAAGGCCTCTGCTCCATCAGCAATTAGGTGGCAGCCAATCAAGCTGTGGGAAGCTGGCCATCCCCACTTCCTTCAGTGGGTGAGGTGGTGGATGCTCTGCCTGCTCTAGGCGCACCCTTGAACAGGTGGCTGGTTGCTCTTTGAGCCAGCTTGGCCTTGCCTAGCATGCATAGGCCCCAGCGACTGGCACGCTGCTCCGAGTGAGCTTGTCCTGCCTTGGCACAAATTCTCAGTCTGGCCAGGGCCACAGAAGGCCGAGTCCCCCGGACGGTAATCTTGGCTGCTTTCTGCACTTGAATGTAAAGTCCTCCTCAAGACGGCCTGTGGTCTGCCTCTTGGCAACCAAGAAGCCTGCAGTGCCATATGACCCGAGTCATGGACTGGAGCCCGAAAGGCAGTGTACACCCTGTCCTGATCTTGCTGCTTGTTTCCTCTCTGTGGCTCCATTCATAGCACAGTTGTTGCACTGAGGCTTGTGCAGGCCGAGCAAGGCCAAGCTGGCTCAAAGAGCAACCAGTCAACTCTGCCACGGTGTGCCAGGCACCGGTTCTCCAGCCACCAACCTCACTCACTCCCGCAAATGGCACATCAGTTCTTCTACCCTAAAGGTAGGACCAAAGGGCCATCTGCTTTTCTGAAGTCCTCTGCTCTATCAGCCATCACGTGGCAGCCACTCGGGCTGTGGGAACCAGGCCATGTATTTCCTTGGTTAAGTGAGGTTTGTGGTTGGTCTACCTGCTGCAGGTCCACCCTCGAATAGGTGGCTTGTTGCTTTTTGAGCCAGCTTGCCCTTGCCTGGCATGCACACGCCCGAGCGACTGCCACACAGCTCCGAGTGATCTTGTCCTGCATTGGCCCAAATTCTAAGTCTGGCCAGGGCCACAGAAGGACAAGTACCCTAGATGGTAATCCTGGCTGCTTTCTGCAGTTGAACATGAAGTCCTTCTCAAAACGGCCTGTGATCTGCCTCTTGGCAACCAAGAAGCTCGCAGTGCCATACCATCCCTGAGGCACGGACTGGAGCCCCAAAGGCAGTGTACACCCTGGTCCTAAGCCTGCTGCTCATTTCCCCTATGTGGCTCCATTTATAGCACAGTTGTTGCACTGAAGCTTGTGCATGCCAGGCAAGGCCAAGCTGCCTCAAAGAGCAACCAGCCACCTCTGTAAGGGTACGCTTGGAGCAGATGGACCAGCCACCAACCTCACCCACTCAAGGAAGCAGGGAATGCGCGTTTGTACCATGCATTTCATTACAAGTATATTTCCCCTGAGGTTGGTGGCCTATGTTTTCTTCTAGGTTTTTTGCTTTTAGGTCTTACATTTAACTCTTTTATCCTTCTTAAGTTAATTTTTGTATATAAAGTGTAAGGAAGTGGCCCAGTTTCGGTTTTCTGCATATGGCTAGCCAGTTTTTCTAACACCATTTATTTATAAAATGGGGAATCCTTTCCCCAGTGCTTACTTTTGTCAGTTTTGTCAAAGATCTTGTGGTTTTACAAGTGTGGTGTCATTTCTGAGGCCTCTGTTCTGTTCCATTGGTCTATATACTTGGTTTTGTACCAGTACCATGCTGTTTACGTTACTGTGGCCTTGTAGAGTAGTTTGAAGTCAGGTACTGTGATGCCTCCAGCTTTGTTCTTTTTGCTTAGGATTGTCTTGGCTATGCGGACTCTTTTTTGATTCCATATGAAATTTAAGGTAGTTTTTCTAATTTTTTGAAAAAAGTCAGTGGTATCTTGATGGGGATAGCACTGAATCTATAAATGACTTTGGGTGGTATGGCATTCAGGCACAGAAATGTCCTTGTGTTAGGCAATACCATTCAGGACACAGGCATGGGCAGAGACCTCATCACTAGAACACCAAAAGCAATGGCAACAAAAGCCAAAATTGACAAATGGGATCTAATTAAGCTAAAGAGTGTCTGCAGAGCAAAACAAACTATCATCAGAGTGAACAGGCAACACACAGAATGGGAGAAAATTTTTGCAATCTATCCATCTGACAAAGGGCTAATATGCAGAATCTACAAAGCACTTAAACAAATTTACAAGAAAATAAACAACCCCATGAAAAAGCGGGCAAATGATATGAACAGACACTTCCCAAAGAAGACATTTATGCAGCCAAAGAACACGTGAAGCAAAGCACATCATCACTGGTCATTAGAGAAATGGAAATCAAAACCACAATGAAATACAATCTCACACCACTTAGAATGGCCATCATTAAAAGATCAGGAAACAACACATGCTGGAGAGGACGTGGAGAAATAAGAATGCTTTTACACTCTTGCTGGGAGTATAAATTATTTCAACCATTGTGGAAGACAGTGTGATGATTCCTCAAGGATCTACAACTAGAAATACATTTGACCCAGCAATCCCATTACTGGGTATATACTGAAAAAATAATAAATCATTCTAATATAAAGACACATGCACACGTATGTTTACTGCGGCACAGTTCACAACAGCAAAGACTTGGAACCAACCCAAATGCCCATCAGTGACAGACTGGATAATGTGGTATATATACACTACGGAATACTATGAAGCTATAAAAAAGGATGAGTTCATGTCCTTTGCAGGGACATGGATGAAGCTGGAAACCATCATTCTCAGCAAACTAACACAAGAACAGAAACACATGTTCTCACTCATAAGTGGGAGTTGAAAAATGAGAACACATGGACACAGGAAGGGGAATATCACACACCAGGGCCTGTCAGCGTGGGGGGCTAGGAGAGGGATGGCATTAGGAGAAATACCTAATGCAGATCATGGGTTGATGGATGCAGCAAGCCACCATGGCATGTGTATATTATACCTACGTAACAAACCTGTATGTTCTGCACATGTACCCCAGAACTTAAAGTATAATTTTAAAAAAACAAATTTTCTTTTAATTAAGCTTTTATCATAGAACTTTTAAAGAAAATCGTTTTGAGTCTCTTACTACCACATCATAGCTGGGACAAACTGCTGATATTTTAAAAGCAATACAAATATCAAACAGAAAGAACTAGACTTAGGAACCAAACTCAGGTTTCTGTAGTGAACAGGGCAGAATCTTAACATTCGGTCCCCACCATTACTCCTTCAGTTTGGCCTTTGCTAGCAAAAGATGGCCTTGTTATGTAGATGAGACCACTTATATAAAAAAAAAGTTTTAAAAAATTTCCAACTGGATTTTCTGTGTTTTTTTTTTGTTTGTTTGTTTTTTGGGTTTTTTTTTTTTTTGTTGTTGTTGTTGTTGTTTTGCCTTTTTTTGTTTTTTTTTGGGGTTTTTTCTTTTGGCTTTTTTGTGTTTTTTGTTTTTGTTTTTCATTTTTTGTGTGTGTTTATTTTTTTATATTTTTTTTTATTTTTATTTTTTGCAGCCACAGGAGTTTTAGCCATTTCAGATGCCTTGCTCCCCATAATTTGGAACATTCCTTTGGATTTGACCAAGTCAGGAAGAGATGGGAGAAAAGCGAAACAACAACAATAAAACCCCAAACATAAACAAACAGAAAGAGTTAAGCAAAACAAACAAATGCACAATTCATATGATTACTGAGTGTTCTAATGCTAAGGAGAAATTAAAAGCAGCTGGTGGGTAATCTTACATTTTATTCATTAAGGAAAAATTTTAAGACAAAACTCTAATTCAGCTACTTACCTGGAAATAAGGCTCAGGCTGGTGATCGTTCTCTGCCATCTTAGAAGCTGGAAAAAACTTACACTCACCTTCCCTGTCAGAAGCAAGCTGAAACTCAGGAAAGGAGATGCCTGCTCTCCATCGTCATGGAAGCAGGAAAACTTGCCTTCCTTTTTGGAAATGAGTAAAACTTCAGAAAAGGAGTTGTACAGCAAAATCAACCTTACATCTCAACCAAATTTTGGGAGATCAGGGACTCTCTGCAGGGGAGAAGCTCCACAACCTCAGCAAATTATCCTATTGGTTTGGGCAATTAAAACAGCCCAGGTTGGTATCAAGCAATGAGATTTATCAAAGGTCAGGACCACCTTTGTAATGTCCTTCTCTTTTTTATCTTTATTCGCATAGTCTGTTTTGTCAGAAAGTAGGAGTGCAACACCTGCTTTTTTCTGTTTTCCATTTGCTTGAAATATTTTTCTCCATTCCTTTATTTTGAGCCTATATATGCCACCGCATGTGAGATGGGTTTCTTGAAGACAGCATACTCCAGTGGGTCTTGGTTCTTTATCCAGCTTGCCCCGTGTCTTTCAATGGGAGCATTTAGCCCATTTTCATTTAAGGTTAGTAATGGTATGTGTGGATTTTATCCTGTCGTCATGCTGTCAGCTGGTTATTTTGCAGACTTAACGTATGTGGTTGGTTTTTAGCATCACTGGACTGCGTAATTCACTGCGTTCTTCACTGCATTTTTGTAGTGGCTGGTGATGGTTTTTTCTTTCCATATTTAGTGCTTCCTTCAGGAGCTCTTGTAAGGTAGATCTGGTGATATTGAATTCCCTCAGCATTTGCTTGTCTGAAAAGGATCTCATTTCTCCTTCACTTATGATGCCTAATTTTGCTGGACATGAAATAATGGGCTGAAATTTCTTTTCTTTAATGGCAGTTGATGTGGGTTGGGGTGTGTGCTGCCCTCCTGTGTGCTGTCAGTGCAAGTAAAGCAAAATCCACCTGTGTAAACACACACAGCAAAATGATGTAGGAAGTTTCCATATAAAGGGCTGCAGTATGGAGAGGTAATGTGCAGGCTGGTGCGTGGCCGTAGGTGCCACCTTGCTGCAGCTCTCCACTGATATGGTACGGTCCACTAGCACAGAAACTATGGTATGGGCATCTGAGAGTGCCCTGTAAGCAGGTGTGGCCAGGCTGGGGCCCTGGGAGAGGCAAGCAGACTAAGGAGTGCTGAGATCAGACCAGCCCCATCTCATGTGCAAGACTGCCCAGCCTCTAAAGATCAGGTCTCAGAGGAGAACTCTCTCAAAAGTGAATCTCCAGCACAGCACAGCTGCTCTACACAATCGTGGCTAGACTTCTTTTTTAAGCAAGTCCCCTTTTTTAAAAGGGGAACTCTCAGACCTGATGTCTGCTGGGCAATCTTGCACATGAGATGTGGCTGGTCTGACCTCAGCATTCCTAAAGTGCTGGGACAAAGTGTCTCACAAGGGCAAGTGGAGCCTAGAGAGATAGCTGTCCCTGCCCTCTGGGCTCCACATCACCTGACTTGCTGCTCCACCACTTTGCTTGTCTCCTGGGTGCTCCATCCCAGAGACATGTGAGTTAGCAATCACTCAGTGTAATCGGCCCAGGATGGAGGGTCTGTGCTGTGGGCCCAAGCCAGGGTTCCCTGTCTGGTGATGAGTAGTGGAGTGTGTGTGGTACCTGTGGGAGATGGATTGGCTTGTTCTTTGGGTCAACTGCAGCTTATTGGAGGTGTTGATATGGCACTTAGGGTCTTTGCTCCCGTGATATATCTTCTGAGGATAGCAAGGGCAGTTCACTGCAAAGGCAGTGGCAGAAAGGATTTCATTTGCTCCTGGAAGCTCTGTCCAAGGAACTGCTGAGTTGCTACTGGCTTGATAGCTCCAGTGGTGGGCTGGCTAGAGACACAGGCCAGGAGGATCTGCCCATCAAGTACAGAGTCTGGCCACTTTTCTGAAGGGCTGCTGTGGAATGCTGGGGGTCCCCTCAAGTCCCTAATTGACTCGTATTTTCCAGGGAAGATGATAGCCTACCCCTTCCTCTGGGAGCTCTGTACCACTGAGGTACGAACCTGTTGCCAATCTGAACACACCAATAAGATGTGGCTGGAGGCAAGTTGAGAAGTCTTACCTAGTCAGGAGGAATAAGAACAGGGACTTGCTTAAAGAAAAAGTCTGGCCACGTTTTTATAGAGCAGCTGTGCTGTGCTGGGGGTTCACTTCAGCCCCTGGCTACCTCAGACACTCTGAAGCCCTAAGGCTGAAATGGCTGGGTCACCCAAACAGCAAAGATGACAATCTGGTCCTCCCCCCGGGAGCTCTGACTCAGGGAGGCCTGAGACCTCTGTCGGCCAGAGAACAGCAGTCAAGGTAGCCAGAGACCCTGGTTGAAAGACTTCACCCACTGACTAGAAATGTGTTCGGGGACTGACTTAAACAAGAGTCTGGCCATGTTTTCGTAGCGTGGCTGTGCTGTGCTGAGGCACCTCTTCTACCCCTTGTCAGCTTGGACTCTCCAAAGCCTGCAGGCCAGAACGGCTAGTCACCCAAACAGCAAAGGTGGTGGCCTGCCCCTCTCTCCAGGAGCTCTGTCCCAGGAACATTTCAAATTTCCATTGGCCAAGGGATGCTGGTGGGGGTAGCTGGAGGCCCCAGTTGGGAGGTCCTGTCCAGTGAGGTGGAACAGGATCAGGGGCCTGCTTACAGAAGCAGTCTGGCCATGATTTGGTAAAGCAGCTATGCTGTGCTCTGGGATCTCTTCTTTCCCTGGTCAGTTTGTACTCTCCAAAGCCCTCAGGCTGGAATGACTAAGTTGCCCGAACGGGAAAGATGGCGGCCTGCCCCATCTTTTCTCTCAGAGTTTTATCTTGTTTCATGGAACTTAATTTTTAGCCTGTTGATTTTACTGTCTACATTAGATTTGTTGAGAAAGATTCTGTAATCTTTTAGGTTAGACAAATGAGAATTCATTGTCTTCTGTAAATAAACCTGTTCATGTCTTGTTCTCTGGAAAGAAGTCTCTTTCAGCTCTCTGACTTTGGTCACAATCATGTAGAGCAGTAGCCAGTCTACAATGATGTAATTGAATTTCCATTTCCAGTGTTTCGTCGTTGTGTCTTACATTGTCCAGTTCAGAACTGAGCATTTTATTCTCAGTTGTCAACATGCTAAGCTGTCCACTGTACAGAAATACTGTTTTTGTTAATGCTTCCTCATTGAATTTTTTTTAAGGTGTGCACTTTTTTCCAACTCTCCTTAAGTCAGAGTACAGGTAAGCCCTGGCTGCCTCCAGCCACTCTCAGGGAGACCAAAAGCCTTCATACACCCCAAGTTGGGGTACAAAAAAGGGGGGCCGCGAAGGCTGATCATTCTAAATAAAACAAAATTAAAAAGTATTTAGGCAAAGATTCAAAAAATTTTGCATTACGTAATTTGCATGAAAGCAATGCCATCACCTCCCCTGTGTGAATTAGGGAGAGGACTGGGCCATTCTCCTTAGAGAGAAGTGGGGTGGCTTTTAGAAGGGCAAGGGGCTTCCTGAAACAATGCATCTCACAATATTTGGAATGACTATTGAAAAGAAAAACAATGTACGATCAAAGTCCTCAGCCACATTGTAGAACTTTGGGGGAAGCTCACTCCAACCAACTGTTCTCGCCTTCACCATTCCAGTTTTTAAATCCTGAGTCAAGCCAATAAAAAACAAAACAAAAAATGAAATAAGAAAACAATTAAAGCCATACCAATCTCATGTGGCTTTCTGCGAAGTTTGGTTTTGTCAAGAAAGGGTGTAATGCAACTAAGTCAGCGTCCACCTAGAAGCATTTGCGGTGGACAATGGAGGGGCCTGACTCATACTCCTGCTTGCTGATCCACATCTGCTGGAAGGTGGACAGCGAGGCCAGGATGGAGCCACCGACCCACACGGAGTACTTGCGCTTGGGAGGAGCAACAATCTTGATCTTCATCGTGCTAGGCGCTAGGGCAGCGATCTCCTTCTGCATCCTGTGGGCAATGCCAGGGTACATGGTGGTGCCACCAGATAGCACTGTGTTGGTGTACAGGTCTTTGTGGATGTCCACATCAGACTTCATGATAGAGTTGAAGGTAGTTTCGTGGATGCCACAGGATTCCATGCCCAGGAAGCAAGGCTGGAAGAGCACCTCGGGGCAGCGGAACCGCTCGTTGCTAATGGTGATGACCTGGCCGTTGGGCAGCTCATAGCTGTTCTCTAGGGAGGAGCTGGAGGCCGCTGTGGCCATCTCCTGCTCGAAGTCCAGGGCAACATAGCACAGCTTCTCTGTGATGTCACGCACGATTTCCTGCTCGGCCATGGTGGTGAACCTATAGCCACGCTCGGTGAGGATCTTCATGAGGTAGTCAGTCAGTTCCCGGCCATCCAGGTCTAGGCGCAGGGTGGCATGGGGGAGGGCATTCCCCTCATAGATGGGCACAGTGTGGGTGACCCCGTCACCAGAGTCCATCACAATGCCAGTAGTACGGCCAGAGGTGTACAAGGACAGCACGGCTTGGATGGCCACGTACATGGCTGGGGTGTTGAAGGTCTCAAACATGATCTGGGTCATCTTCTCACGGTTGGCCTTGGGGTTCAGGGGTGCCTCGGTCAGCAGGATGGGGTGCTCCTCGGGAGCCACACGCAGCTCATTGTAGAAGGTGTGGTGCCAGATCTTCTCCATGTCGTCCCAGTTGGTGATGATGCCGTGCTCCATGGGGTACTTCAGGGTCAGGATGCCTCTCTTGCTCTGGGCCTCATTGCCCACATAGGACTCCATCTGACGCATGCCCCCCATCATGTTCTGGTGCCTGGGGCACCCCACGATGGAAGGGAAGACAGCCCGGGGGGCATCGTCACCTGCAAAGCCGGCCTTGCACATGCCAGAGCCGTTGTCAATGACGAGCACGGCAGTATCATCATCCATGGTGAGCTCATTCAGTTGTAGACCCTTTAAAAGATTATCATTCTTTTTTTCCACACTTTCAATTTCCTCCAAATATTTCTTTTCTCTTAGCTGGCTCTGATGTTTCATTATGTCTAGTTCCAGTCTTAGCATGACAATTTCTTCCTGCAACGTACTATTTTCATGCAAGAGGTCTTTTTCTTTCTTATAACTAAGAGAAAGCTAAGTAAACAAAGGGAACTTTTAGTTAGCACTCAATAGATTGATATATCATGATTTCTTCTGAAATTAAAAAATAACATCTGTATTTGTATAATGAAAGAATCCCCATAGTGGATATTTAACTGGAAAAAACTGGACAAAACTCCAAACCTAGCAGAGTGTAAATTCCTCTAGTGATTTATTTTTCATAGTCTTTAAATAAAGATTTAAACTTTTAGGAATCTGCTCCTGAATTCCTAAAAGTTTAAATATTTATTTAAAGACTATGAAAAATAAATCACTAGAGGATTTTTAAGAATCTCAGAATTAAAAAAGCCTTTCTCTGAGTTACAAAAAACCCAGAGGCATAAAATATAAGATTAATACATTTGACTATATTTTTAAGATTAGGTTTATACTCTGATATCTAACCTATCAACCACACCATCCTAAGAGCCTTAGCTATGCATATATTTGGACAGAAGCAATTTCTCAAAGTTCTTTAAGTTTCTTTTACTGAAGAACGTTTTACCGATATTCTACATTTCTAATATTTTTATACTCAGTTATAAGAATTATATTTATTCATAACTTAAATCTAAGCACTGTACCCTTCTACACTGTACACATCTGTATCTAAGCATTGCACTCCTACATACAACACTGAACTCATTTAAGATCGTGATTCTTAAAAGGAGAAGTCAAAAAATATATACAAGATGCAGGATTTTCCCCAGGTCTGCTGATGCTACTTCTAGTGATCCTCCACAAAACCACAGTTACTTCTGTGGTGTAAATATATAAATACAAAAGAAGCCTTTTGTTTCAAAATATGAATGGTAAGTAAGATGCAACTTATAGAGATTTTCTTAGAAATCATGAGATTATTTGTCATTGTGATAACTTTTATTTCCTCTTTATAATGTTTGAAACAGTAGTAACTGTGAAATAGGGGAAATATACTCAACTATTTCTCTAGGAACAAAATACATATCAATAAATTATCACTAAATGTATATCATGGCATGTCATTGTTTTCAAACCTCTTTACATTGAAATGAGAAATTACTTGGAGCAAAGTGTTCCTCTCCACAAAAGTAAGGATGATGACATCCACAATGTGGCCTCTGACCCAACTATACATTTCCTACTTTCCTATCAGTGAAAACCATCAATTGACTTCTCTATTAACATTTTTTAACAAAACTAATGTCCAAAAACTAGAAAATTTGTTTTTAGTAGCAAAACTTAGTTTTGATATGGAAAGATCATCAATTCTTATGAAAAATATCAAATGCTTCTCCTTTGGATTGAGGCCATTGTGAAGGTCACTACTCGACTGTTGCAGGCAAATGGAGTTGAATTAAGAACATGGCTTTCTCCTATATGTACAGATATAGATACATGACAAAGGATATATAGAATATATACACACATATATATGACTTAAAAATCCTTTGTATATCCAAAATACATAGTTTTTAAAAAATATATACACATATAAAAACATTTGAAAATAACTAAATACCTCAGAATTCATTTTCAGCCACTTCTATCTGCTTTTCTTCATGAATCAGAATCTCATCTTGTAATATTCCAGTGTTCTGTTCTTCAGAAAGTTGCTTCTGAGTATCATTTTGTTCATCACTAGAAAAAAAATTAATTTTCATGAAATACTGGAGGTGTCCCCAAAATGATCTACAGGGCAAGATGGCGCCATCAGATGTCATTCACACAATGTATATCTGCACATTATTCCAATACAAGGCAAAGGGGTCTCACATCTGTTAACCGAGTATCCCCAACCATGCTGGCACCAGGGACTGGTTTTGCGGAAGATAATTTTTCCAGGAACCTGAGGTTTGGGATGGTTCCAGGATGATTCAAGTACATTACATTCATTGTGCACTTTATTTCTATTATTATTAATATATAATGAAATAATTATATAACTCACCAAAATGTAGAATCAGTGGGAGCCCTGAGCTTGCTTTCCTGCGACTAGATGGTCCCATCTGGGGGTGATGGGAGATGGTGACAGATCATAAAGGCATTTGATTCACATAAGGAGTGAACAACCTATATCCCCTGCATGAGCAACT
The DNA here is from genome assembly GCF_000001405.40 of Homo sapiens. Lineage (NCBI taxonomy): Eukaryota > Metazoa > Chordata > Mammalia > Primates > Hominidae > Homo > Homo sapiens. Next base: position 15,719,204 of record NC_000022.11, on the reverse strand, counting down.
TACAACAGGGTTCAGGTCACACTCTTAGGACGATCTAATGCCACCGCTGATCTGACAGGAGGAGCAGCTCGGGTGGTAATGCGAGCGACAGAGAGTGGCTGCAAACAGATGAAGCTTTGCTTGCTCACCTGCCTCTAACTTCCTGCTGTGTGGCCCAGGTCCTAACAGGCCAGGGACTGGTACTGGTCTATGGCCTATAACTCATACTTTTTGTGTTTATTTTTTGGAAACATTTTCCACTTATATTCTTGATTCCTATGTATTTTATAAACAACTTAGAAATTCCTTTTAGAACAAGACAGGGTCTAATATTATGTTTTTAACATAGGACTTTGAATTAATTTTATCTGTGTATGAGAGAGAGATGTGAAATAAACTCATCATTAAGCATTTTCCATTTTACTTTTATTTCATGCATATTAAGAATAAAACTGGGAAGTCCTAGGCAAAGCAATTGGGCAAGAGAAATAAAGGGCATCCAAATTGGAAAAGAGGAAGTCAAACTATCTCTTCACCAATGATATTACCTTATACCTAGAAAACCCTGAAGATTCCTACAAAACACTCCTAGATTTGATAAATGAATTCAGTAAAGTCTCAGAGGTTACAAAATGAATGAATACCAATCAGTAGCACCACTACACACCAACTACGACCAAGCTGAGAGTTCATATCAACAATCCAATCCCTTTTACAGTGGCTGCAAAAAAGTGTGAAATACCTAGGAATATGCTCAATGAAAAAGGTGAGTGATCTATATAAAGATAACTGGAAAACACCACCAAAGAAAATAACAGATGACACAAACAAATGAAAATACATCCTATGTTCATGGACTGAAAGAACTGATATAGTGAAAATGACCACAGTGCCCAAAGCAGTCTACATAGTCGATACAATTCCTACCAAAGTACCAATGTCATTCTTCACAGAATTATTTTAAAATGCTGACATTCATGTAGGACCACAAAAGAGCCTGAATAGCAACAGACATACCAAGCAAAAGGAACAAATATGTTGGCATCACGTTACCTGACTTCAAATTATACTCTAAGGCCACAGTAACAGAAACAGCGTGGTACTGGTATAAAAACAGATACATAGATCAACGGAACAGAACAGACAACTCAGAAATAAAGCCGCTACAACCAAGTGATCTCTGAGCAAGCATACAAAAACATACACTGGAGAAAGTACAGGTTATTCAGTAAATAGTGCTGGGAAAAAAAGAGAGCCACATGTGGAGGAATGAAACTGGATCTCTATCTCTCAACATATACAAAAATTAATTCAAGATGGATGAAAGGCCCAAACCTAAGACCTGAAAACATTGGCCTAGGCAAAGAATTTATGATGAAGACCTTAAAGCCAATGCAACAAAAATGAAAATAAATAAGACCTAATTAAACTAAAAACCTTCAGCACAGCAAAAGAAATAATCATCAGAGTAAACCAACAACCTATACAATGGGAAGAAAATTTGAAAATTATGAATCTAACAAAGGACTAGTATCTATAACCTACAAGAAACTCAAACAAATCAACAGGAAAAAACACAAATATTTCCATTAGAATGTGGCCAAATTACATGAATAGCCATTTCTCAAAAGAAGATGTACAAACGGTAAACAAGCATATAAAAACATGCGAAATATCTCGAATCATCAGGAAAATGCACAATAAAATGACAGTGAGATATCACCTCGCTGCAGCCAGAATGGCCACTATTAGAAAACAAAAAAAAACAGATGTTGGTGTGGATGTGGTGAAAGGAGAACAGTGATACACTGCTGGTGGGAATGCAAATTCATACAAATCTATGGACAACAGTATGGAGAGTTCTCAAAGAACTAAAAATAGATCCTACCATTTTATCCAGCATTCTCATTTCTGGATAGCTACACAAAACAAAAGAAATCGTACTCTCACAAAGACACCCGCACACATATGTTTACTGCAGCACAATTCACAATATGCAAAGATATGGAATCAGCCAGTGTCCATGAACTGATGAATGGAATAAAGAAAATGGAGATATATAAAAATATATATATCTCACATCACATATATATATATCACATATACGTATGTGTGTATATACACTCACACATATACGTATGTACATACCCGAGACTGGGTAATTCATACACATACATACCTGAGACTGGATAATTCATAAAGGAAAGAGGATTAATTGATTCACAGTTATGCATGGCTGGGGAGGCCTCAGGAAACTTAACAACCATGGTAGAACGTGAAGGGGAACCAGGAACCTTCTTCATAAGGCGGCAGGAGAGAGAGAATGGAAGGGGAAAGAGCCCCTTATGAAACCGTCAGCTCTTGTGAGAACTCACTCACTATCACAAGAACAGCACGGAGGAAACCGACCCCATGAGCCAATCACCTCCCAGCTGGTCTTTCCTCAACACCTGGGAATTACAATTTGACATGAGATTTGCATAGAAACACAAAGCCAAACTATTGTGGGGGGGTATCCTTATTTTTAAAATATCTAAATGTCATTATTTATAATTCAAAATAATAATTTTTATTAGTGATGATTTTGTTTGAAAATAGAATGATCTGATAAATTTTTTTCACTTTTAACCTATTCAGTCAAAATATATAAAAAGCTAGATTTGCCAGCAGAATACTGTAACTACTTTTTAATGAGATAAAAATGTATAACAACATCACTATTATTGTACAGAGAAAAAAGTGAACATAAAAAGGAATTTAAAAAGACAATATGACAATATGACTATCATACACATACATGAACTGACAGACTAAAATCTCCTACTGGAGATTATGTTAGGACTTGAGCAAAAGCTTCTAAAAATACCCAAAACAAACACAAAACAATTATTTTTAAGAAATAAATTATACAGAGAACTCTTCTGGTTAAGACGATGTATCAAAAAAAAATCTCCGTGAGAGCTATTATTAACCAAGTCATCATAACCAAAACTTTAAATCCACAATTCTGAAATATTAAAAAGTTTCATTTTGAACATAGTTAATGGAAGGCAACTTTTGAACAGAAAATTTCTGTTTAAAGTTGACTCAAACTTAGGAAAGAATTGACCTGTAGCCATGGTAACAAGAAGCCACCCAGAGCCAGTTCAAAATCTAGTCAATCGATCAATGACCACTGGCTTTGCTCACCAACCAATATCAATGTGAGCAGCTTGCTTCTGAAAGACAGCCAAGCAGCAACAGCTGCTTCATCAGAATAGACAGTGCCTGACCAGTATAGTCTTACTATCCGAAGCAAAAGATTCCAACTGTCTTTTTATTTCAAATACCAAAGGTCTATAATCCCTTGGAAACAATTTGTGAGTCCATTACATTTACCACCCTAATATTTTTTTAAATAAAATACTAGTGGCCGGACATGGTGGCTTACGCCTGTAATCCACCCAGCACTTTGTGAGGATAAGGCGGGTGGATTGCCTGAGGTCAGGAGTTCGAGACCAGCCTGACCAACAGGGTGAAACCCCGTCTCTACTAAAAATACGAAAATTAGCCGGGCCTCATGGCACGCGCCTGTAATCCCATCTCCTCAGGTGGCTGAGGCAGGAGAATCACTTGAACCCAGGAGGCGGAGGTTGCAGTGAGCCGAGGTCACGCCACTGCACTGCAGCCTGGGTGACAGAGCGAGACTCTATCTCTAAATAAATAAAATACCAGTAAAGTTTGCAATTCCTCTGACTCATTTTACCATAATTGCAATTATCATGATTACCAGTAAAAGAATAGTGAATAACCACAATATTGGACTTTTCTCCCTAAGTGAAAAAATATTAACATAAAGAATGTAGATTATAAAAAGCCAAAAGAATTTTAAAAATACATATAATTACCAGGCAAAATTGTTAAAATGAACTCTGTCAAACACTTTTTAAGTGAGAATCAATCAAACAATATAGCCAGGATAAACTCCATTCATTCATTTAATACTTATTTATTAGGTAGCTACGTCTGATAGGCTAGGCCTTTTTCTAAGAAGTAAGGATATGGTAATGAACAATAAAAACCCTATTCATGAGAGTGAGATAAACACACAATAACAACAGACAGATAAGGCAAAATATACAGTACATTAGAGGAGAAAAACTAAAGCAGGAAAATGAAATGTTTACCTGTTTGATGGGAAGGGTCGTGGGAAAGTTGGGATGGCCAGAAAAGTCCCTGATGAGAAAGAGGATTTTTCTTTAACACAAAGAAACTTTTATTTGTACATCAAAGACTCTAAAAAATGATGATGTTAACAGAGTTGATGTCAAGACACAAATAGGTTTGAAGTTAGAGATGATAAATCACTGTTTCATTGAACCTTCCCTCAATTACGTTAGAGAGAATCCCTGGTATGCTCCCAATTGAATCTTAAGCCTGATGCGTCCTGGTGATACAATCGTAATTCCTTTCTGTTAGTCCTCGTTATCTCTTTTTCTTTTTCTTCATTTTTCTCTGGACTAGGAATTGTGCTGGTACATGGTTCTTCCTCCGAAAGTGGTTATTCCTTAATGTGTTTCTTTTTACCCTTTTTCTTCTTCTTAGAAAGGGGATTTTAAGTAAAAAACTGAAGTAATGGAAACAGTAAGCTAGAAGAATATCTGGGGAAAAAGCATTCCAGACATGGGGAACTGCTAAGTGCAGAGGTGTGACTGGAGTTTTTAAGCACTAGAGATAGGTAAGGAATAGCAAGAAGTTCAGTGTGGCTGAAACAGAGCAAAAGAGATAAGAAACAGAAGTTTAAGCAGGAGAGATAACATGCCAGATGGTTGACTGCCTTTTAGTTATTAGGAGGAACTCTGACACATACTTAGCGTGAAATGGGAGGCAATCAGAAGGGCTGGGGCAGGGGAATGACACAATTTGACTTATGTTTTAAATACATCCACTGAGTTAAGAATTGATGAAAGGGGAAGTTTTTAAAAACCAGGACTATCAATTCCCAGTCTATGACACTCATCTAGATGGCAGATGATGGTGGCTCACATGTGCAAGATATGACTGGCTTCTGGACATATTCTTCAGGTAGACCTGACGAGATTTACTGAGAGATTAGATGTGAAGTGTCAAGAGAGAGAGAAAGATGAGTCTAGAATGACACCGAGGTTTTTGGCAGAGCAACTGGAAGAGTTGCCATTAACCAAAGTAGGAAAGACTACATGAGGTGTAGATTTCAGGAAGGCCATCAGTAGCCCAATTTTGGATCTGACAAGTGTGTGATACTCAACAGCTAATCAAATAACTATTTATTAGGTAGCTACGTCTGATAGGCTAGGCCTGTCAAGTAGCCAGGCTGATACAGAGATCTGGAATTAAGGAGTGAGATCTGAGTTGGAGACATGCATTTGGAAATCACTAGCATATATACAGTAGAAAAAGTCATGAAGGGCCAGGCACTGTGGCTCATGCCTGTAATCCCAACACTTCGTGAGGCCAAGGCGGGCAGATCACCTGACATCAGGAGTTTGAGACCAGCCTGGCCAACATGGGGAAACCCTGTCACTACTAAAAATACAAAAATTAGCCAGGTATGGTGTCACACACCTGTAATCCCAGCTACTCAGGAGGCTGAGGCAGGAGAAGCGCTGGAAGCCAGGAGGCAGAGGTTGCAATGAGCCAAGATCGTGCCAATGAACACCAGCCTAGGGGACAAAGCCAGACTTCATCTTAAAAAAAAAAAAATGTCATGAGAAAGAAGATTGAGGACTGAGCCATGAGAAACAGCAATGTCCAAAAGGAGAAAGATGAGGAGGAGCAAGCAAAACAGACCGTGATGAATGGACTAGAAAGGCAGGAGTAAAAGCCTGAGGGAGTGAGGTCCTGAAAGCCAAGTGAAGACGCCGTTAGGGAGAAGATGCCCTCCATTGGCTCAAATATTGCTGACAGATTAAATAAAATGAGGTGTAAGAAAAAATGCATAGATTTATTTACAGAAAAAAGTAGTGATAACCTTGAGAAAAACAACTCTGGAGGAGTGCTGAAATTGAAGACTTACTGGCATTGAGATCAAGAGTGAATGGAAAGAAAATTTGAGTTCGTGAGTGTAGACAGTTACTTAAAGGACAACATACTTAACACTCACGACTGAGAATGATGTAATTTTCATCCACAGTCATGGAAAAGTGATAGACAAGAAATAGTTTCCAAATTTTACATAACAGGTGGAGGTTTCAAATGCTATGTAACAATTATATATTTCAAAGGTTATAAAAATTATACACATGTGGCATTAAATGCCAGACCAAGGTTTTAAAGGCCCCTAGAACATTTCTAGATCACATAAGCTGATTATCATTTTGTTCATTCATGCTTATACATAAAGACCAAGAAATACTAAAGGTCTCAACGAGAATATTTCTTGCTTGATAAAAATCAGCCAATTCTAGGACAGTTGACACTCATCAAATATACAAAGTAATTGATCACAGTAAAATACTGAGTTCTATTAACAGGAATAAAGAGAGAGAAATGCAGAAAATAATCTTATTTTATAAATGAAGTTTTTAAAATTATATGAAGTCACTGTGGAAAAATATGGTGAGGTGAATACTCAAATATATCCTTTTCTCAAAGGAAAGATAATGTCACCCATGCAGGACACTTTTACATATAAGAGTCAATGCATTAGCAGCACCTTCCTTTTAGCACAAAGGTCAGCAAATAAGCACCTGTGGGCCAAATCCAGCCCACTGACTGTTTTTGTAAGTCAAGTATCCTGGAACACAGCCATGCTTATTCACTTTACAGTCCATAGTGACAATTAGCTGGGTGTGATGTTGCACACCTGTGGTCCCAGCTAGTAGAGAGGCTGAGGTGGGAGGATCACTAGAGCCCAGAAAGTCGAGGCTGCAGTGATCACACAACCATGATCACACAACTGCACTCCAGCCTGGGAAACAGAGCCAGACCCTGTCTCAAGAAAATAAATATATGTAGTCCACAAAGCCTAAAATATTTACTAATTGGTTCTTTGCAGAAAAAGCTGGCCAACTCTTGGTTTAGTAGATCAAAGATCTTTGATGTATTTTAATAAAAGTTTTACCCAATACACTGAAATGTTTATATTAAATATAGATCCCCATGTACAATCCCTTGGCAATATTCAGACTGAGGGTCCAATATTTCAGCACTCAGGCACTGACAACAAAAATTTAATAATTAGCAATCTTGTTGCTAACAAGGTACAGTGTCAATGTAGCATGTAGCTTCCATTTCCAACACAGCAGATATTACAAGAATTTTAACAAGAACTCCTAAGATGTGTCATTAAACTAAATGCTTTAAATACATTTTAATTGTGAAATAATCAGTATACCCTAGATCTAACCTCATTTTTCAAAAACGGTTGCATAATACATTATTTTGGGGGTATGGACATTGAGCTATTTCCTATTGATAAGGGAGTAGACTAGCTCCAAATTTTTAGTATAATAATGCTATAATAAATGTCCTTATATGTAAGTATGTATGTAACATATCTACACAAATATCCTTTACATGTATTATACATCCTTACTCCGTTATATATCTGTGTGTGTGTGAATATGCTACTAAATTAATGTTCAAAATGTATTTACCAACAGTGTATGAAATGTCTTTTTCAGTGAAACCATTTCCCTTGCAGCAACACAGATGGAGCTGGAGGCCATTATCCTAAGCAAACTAATGCAGGAACAGAAAATCAAATGCCACATATTCTTACTCATTAGTGGGAACTAAACATGAGAACTCATGGACACAAAGAGGAGAATAACAGACACTGGGGCCTACTTGAGGGTGGAGAGTGGCAGGAGGGAGACGACCAAAAAACTACCATTCGAGTATTTTGCTTATTATGTGGCTGATGAAATAATCTGTACCCAAACCTCCATGATACAGTTTACCTATATAATAAACCTGCACATGTACCCTGAAGCTAAAATAAAAGGTCACTGAAAAGAAAAGAAAATGCCTTTTCCCTCACATTTGCCAATACTGGCTATTTTTCAAATAAATTAATGACTGGAAAAAATGGTAACTCATTGTTTACTGATTTTCATTTTTCTGATTAACAGGCAAGGCTGAATATCCTAGTAAAAGTATAAAATTTGTTCATCATGAATTAGATTCACAGCATAGAGTTATCTCCTGTTCAATGTTGCCACAGACTTACCTGTGATACTGTTCATTCTCAGTGTCAGGAAATTGCTGGCTTTCAGGTGTTCTGCTTTTCCTTGGTGGAATTAATCCATCATCACCATTGTCAGCAGTGGCACCGTTAGTCAGGTTTTCTGGGAATCCCATATGAGTACTTCCGTGCTTCTTCATTTCTTCTTCAACCTTGAATGAAAGTTTGATATTAAGGATAGTTATCCCTTTACTGAATAGAAAGAATATTTTTAATTGATTTTATCACTTGACCAGTTTATCATTATTTTAGTCATTAAAAACATTTCACTCTTAAATTGGATCATATACACAGAACTATTACCATATAATTTTAAGATGTACTTATCATATCACTAATATATCACAGAAATTTTTGTAAAGTTTGCTTCATTTCTGTTTCAATGAGTAAAACAGAATTTTCCAAAATTCAAAAAGGGCCCTCCTTTATTTTGTGCTTTTATTCTCAATCACTCTTCAGAATCTTATATATGTATTTACCCCCATTTGACTGGTGGGAACACATAAATAAAAAGACAAAGATGCAAAATGTGTCTTCATCCCTCTTTACCACCTAGATTTTACATTAAACAGTCATTTTAGAGGATGAGACACCATGGGGCTTCAGGAATAGAATGGAAGATGGCCCTTTTCTGCACTAAGATATTCTTCTCCCCCACTGCCTTTGAGCATTCTTTTTTCATTAGGTTCCTAGGATATCAAAAACACGAAGGTGCTCACTGAAACATGGGAACCAAAGTTTCCCACAACATAAGGAGCAGAGTGAAACTGCTGAGGTACAATCATGGAATTCCAGAAAATGAGTTGCTCCCCAAATTTCACATTCGATAGCCATAAAATTTTCTAGCTGGAAAATACACAGAATAAAAAATTATCTACTTTAGCCACATTTTCTATTGATAATCAGACTAAAACCAAGAAAGATAAAATTATTGATCCAAAGCTCCTAAAGTGGCATTACTTAGCATTTTACGGCACCATTTGGGACTATTCCATAATAATGAAAGAATATCTCTAGGGTTTGCATCTCTTTAAAATTCAATGTATAGAATTCTGAGTTAAGTATTAAATTTTTCACTGATGATTTATGCTACTTACATGATAGGATCACGTATGCCTACACTTACTACACTTTGTTAAACAACATAATGTAAAAATCTAATTCAACGCAAACATTTGAATATAAAAGTATACCTTTCTATCACCACCCTTATTTATTTCTGGTTCTTGAGACATTTCCTGCAGATGCAAAAACAGAAGGTTAATTTGCTTGTTGTATTTCTGTGATGTCTCCTCTTTTGGAGCACATGTTTTTAAAATAATTTTATTCTTAAGTAATCAAGTATGGACAATAAAAATTAGAAAATAATTAAAATTAAACTTAAAAAATAAATAATAATTAAAATTAAGATTAACTTTTTAATCTATGTTTAGCTACCGCCACATCACTGGCTTCTAACATGTGAAAAATAATTCACCTTAGCCAAAGGGAGAAGAAAAACATGAACCAGCAAACTTAACTTGGTCACTATTTGTTCAGACTAAACTTAATTTGTTATGTGTTAAATCTACCAAAAATGAATCAGCAGATCATTTGTAGTGTTGCAAAACCTTCCTCACTTGAAAAGAGTTTACCTCATGAAACCCTAACTAGTGAGCCCCTACAGTGCACTGAAGTGCTTTTTCAAAAGATTCCTAACTGGATTGTAGGCACACTTTAAATTATTAGGAGCCGAAATCAACACCAAACAGAAAGAGATGCAAATTCTTACATTTTAATTGAAATTATATACTGTAATATGATAGTGTTATGTATCTAGATTATCTGCTTAAGTCCAGTTCTAATATATTCTAATATGTACTAATGACAGTAGATAAAAATTTTAATCTGTCCTGATTTTCTGCAACTGAAATAAATTAGAATGTTATTGTGTTTGTGCACTAACACCAAAGGTCCCATTCTGCAAGATATGATTCCTTTAATAGGCAGTTGGGTTGCTTTTTTGACCTGGTTCCCTCCCTAAACAGAAACACTGAGGTCAATGAGAGACCACAAGGCAGAATATATCTTTAACCTTAGTATCAGTGACTGACAATATAAAACTGCAGATTTTCAATCACTGGCCATGATTACTCTTTAACCATGAATCCAGCTCAGGGACCATCAGTGTTACATTGTTCATAATTCTATTGCTTAATAATATAATCCAATAATTGATGTTACATTCTTCATCATGTTAGGATGTTGTAAAAATAAAAGAACAAAGTTCTGAAATTTGTTTTTGCCTCTATTCCAAAAGGAAAGATTAGCTATAAGCTAATCAAGAAGGCAGATAAGAATATTTTAAAATAAGAGTATTTTAAATTTCATAGTGGGTTATGTTGAAGTTAAATATCAAATATTAAATTAGAATCTATTGATTCTTTTAATAAGGTTGCTGAATTTATTACAATAAATTTTAAGAATCTATTAAAATATTTTTTTTTTTTTTTTTTTTTTTTTTTTTGACACAGAGTCTTGCTTTGTCACCCAGGCTGGAGCGTAGTGGCAGATCTCGGCTCACTGCAAGCTCCACCCCCCAGGTTCATGGCATTCTCCTGCCTCAGCCTCCTGAGTAGCTGAGACTACAGGTGCCCACCACCACACCCGGCTAAGTTTTTGTATTTTTAGTAGAGACGGGGTTTCATCATCTTAGCCAGGATGGTCTCGATCTCCTGACCTCATGATCCGCCCACCTCAGCCTCTCAAAGTGCTGAGATTACAGGCATGAGCCACCCCCCCAGCCAAAAGATTCTTAAAAAAAGAATCTATTGATTCTCAAAGCCTAGTCTCAAAAGTAATTTCATTTGGACTATCTAATATTATTAAAGCAAAAAAAAAAAAAATAAAAAACGTTAAACCAAAAGTTTAAATTTAAGAGTTTCCATGCCTCTGGCTGGCTATTTTCACTTCCTTTAAGCCTTTGTGACTCTTCCTCTGATGTCAGCTTTAAGTCTTGTTCTGTTGAAAAATCCATATATTCAGTTAAAATCAACCACTTACAACAGTTAAAAACTATTGCCTTTTAAAAACAGATTTAAGACATTTCATTTTATTTCATAAATTGAGTGTTTAATCTTTCATGAAATTGTCATTTATGAAATAATTCTCAAAAACTTCAAAAAACCACTTGGGGAGACATCAGATGTCACCAGATTGAAGACATACACACATGTTAAAAATTCCCTCATAAATTCATCCACCCAACATAAATGAACAAAACCACCATAAACACAGCTTTAAAATACAGTAGAAACAATAAAGTGACACAGTATATTGTTCTCCACTTCCTAATAGTACCTTATAAATGATTTCCAAAATCACTGCTGACACCTTTATTACTGTACAACATTTTCCTAATATCTAAAATGTTTCCCTCCATAATTCTGACAAATTTATTTTAATTTTTTTTTTTTTTTTTAATGAGCCAGGGTCTTGCTCTGTCACCAGGCTGGAATGAAGTGGTGCGATCAGCTCACTGCAACCTCTGACTCCCTGGTTCAAGTGATTCTCCTGCCTCAGTCTCCTGAGTAGCTGTGATTACAGGCAAGCACCACCACACCCAGCTAATTTTTGTATTTTTAGTAGAGATGGGGTTTCACCATTGGACAGGATGGTCTCAATCTCCTGACCTCATTATCCGCCCACCTCAGCCTCCAAAGTGCTGGGATTACAGGCATGAGCCACCACACCCAGACTTATTTTCATCTTTTGAAACAATTCTATGTGAAGTCTTCCTTGATTCTGCATGTCTTTCCCCAAATAAACAGGTATCTCCTTCCTTGAGGCTGCCTTAGTATTTTACTGATTTTTCTACGGCATCTTTACCCCCTAAGCTGTACATTATTTCTCCATATGTCTGTCCCCTCTGCTCCAAAACTGCAGGGGAGAGTCTTGCACATCATCTTTGTAAAAACAGTCTTTGTTTTACTCAGAAAATTTGTATTGAGTCCTGCTACATACATGCTAGGCATTAGGGTCTAAAAAGAATGAAAATAAAGCATCTCAGGGATGGCTTTTCTAGAACACATGCCCAAGCAGAGACTTAAATATTGAGGCTGGCCAGATTAAAAGGGGTAGAGGGCAGGAAAGGGTGACAGCATGCCCGGCAGCAGCAAGAGCGGGAGCGAGGCCTGAAAGAATGAAAGTATTTGCCTACAATAGAAGGATGAGTGAGTAGGGCACTACCAGCAGCTCAGTAATGCCAGAGAAAGGGCACACAGGGAAAAGGGCTAAAGATGGAGAGTGGGGCAGAAGTCAGATTATGAAAGCCTCATGTGTAATTTTAAGATGCTTGGACATTAATGTTCAAGAGTGGTCCCTGGTCCTATCTGCATTTAGATATAGATCACTTTAAATGCCAAAACCAATATTTGTAGTGAACCATTATTCATTAAGACAAGGTGACTGATAATTCATGTGGACACAACTGAAATGATACTATGTAGCGAATTCTCAATAATTCTCATGAACACTTGGAAAGTCAATTCTATAATAAAGTCATACAAATTATAATAAATCAGTAAAGATTTGGTTTGGGAAGATGCTTTGTAAAGTTATAGTGCATATGAATACAACTAAGAGTCGTGAATTCAGAGCTGTGACAATAAAGCAAAGAAATTACATTGTGTTTGAGTCAGCAATCTTTAGATTTCTATCCAGTCTTCCCATCCAGTCCATAAATTCTAAGTATAATCCTGGTACTCACTCTCAAGTTTACGTTAAATACTATCCCATACAAAAACCACTCTTTCTCTTGTTTTCATTATTTATATGTTGCCTTGTTTAAAGGAAGAACACAAAAATGCCCTGCTAAAGGGATTCTGTTTGGCTGCAGGCAGCAAGAGGGAAAAACACAGAGCATATTTTGCAGAAAATGATTTATTAGAAGTCAGAACTATGACACGAAGCCAAGCAGGGCACTCTAGGACTGAATTTGCTGTGCTGCCTTCATACGCTCCTTGCTCTTTCTTTTCTGGCAGCTGTGACTCACACAGCTCATGGAGAGTATCATTCCCTAAGAGGAACAACTCCGATATTCATCTTTATCTATTAAGTTCATCTGTCCCAATTCTGTGTTCTGTGGATGCTGACTTTCGGTCATGGATGGTGATACACATGGACATTTATCATCCACTTTCAGATTCTTGGAACTTTGACAAGTCTTATTAGTGAGAGTCAGACTACTAGGATGCAAGTTACAAATGCTGATTATCCAATTACCTACTCAAAATATCCTACACGAATATTCCATTAAACATGCATAGAAAAACATTAGTCATTCCTGCTGACCTGCTGTTCTTTGCTCTTCTGTATTCACCAGAAAATTTCCTACTCCTTCCTCACGTCTAGGTTAAATACTAGTGTACAACCTGGAAACCTGTACATCATCTGAGATTTCTCTCTGTCCCCCAAGCCTTTCTCATTCAATTATCACTAAATCATATTGACGATACCTCTCTTCTGCCTCCATTTTGTATTCCCACTGCCACTGGGAACATGAACATTTACAAAATGGCTTTTATGAAAAAAAAAACTGCCAACAATTAATGTTATTTCTTACGGGAAAAAAATTAAGCTAAACAAATGAAAAAAGCATAACACCAAAAAAAAAAAAAAAAAAAAAAGGCCAACATATTAAAACGAGTAATTGAGATTCCTAACTTTATTTATTTCACTATGGACAGGTGAAAACCTTGTAATACATTGATGCTACTCCAAGGATGTATGACAAGGAAACCATAGCTGACTACTGCAAAAGCTTCCTTTGTCTCCTGGTTTCTTTACATAGTAAAGAACCTTCCATCAATCCCAGCAAACTATAGGCTACAGACTAAATCCAATCTGCATTATGGCATTGTGAGTAAAGTTTTATAGGAGCTCAGTCATGCCTGTTTGCTTACATATAATTCTGGTGGCTTTCACACTACAACAGCAGACAACAGCAGGGTTAAGAAGACATGACAGAGACCACATAGTCTAAAATATTTCCCACCTAGTCCTTTACAGAAAAAGCTTTCTAACCCATTTTACACCATAACCAGAAGCCTTAATACTCAAATTTAATCTTGTGACTCCCCTGCTCAAATTTCTCCAATGAGCCCCTGCAGCACACATTGTTGGCTCCCTATCAATAGCCATTCCTTATTCTTTCTTGCAGAAGAAACACAAGTCTATTGGGATATTTATTATCCCAATCCCCCTCCTCAGCCTCAGAAAGAGAAATGTTTATTCTAAGCTAATCATGTATTTTCCTTCCCAGTGCCTGGTTTGGGAATGAGCAGGTACTCTGACCTAGCCAATGAAATATTACAGGAAGCCCTTGCATGCTTCTAAGTTTTCTCCCAGTTACGTGAATAAAACACTGCCAACAGCACAGCTGAAAGAGGGACAAGTGGGATCCTAGGATATCAATGAACAAACAAAACAACTCTGGTTCCTACTGTTTTAGCCACCGCTCATCTAGTATTTGCAGTCCAAAGCATTCTACCTGGTAAACTTCCCATGGCCCATGGGGTAAAACCTACTCATTTCTGTAGTATTAAAATGTCTATCATGAACTTGCCTTAGCTAAGTATTCACCTCATTCCCAACCTCTCGTATCTCACACTTTTGGTATTAGCAAAAGTGAATTGCTCAGAATCCCTGCAAAGTTCACTCAAGCATCTTGTCTTTTGCACTTGCTGCTCTTTCTGCCAAACAGGCAATCTCATTAGATGTTCCTTCTGGCAAACACACAACCTCGTTGCATGTTCCTTCTGCCAAACATTATTCTTCTGCTTCTTTACCTAGAAAAATTCTTCTCTCTCTGCATGCTTACCTTAAATCATACCTACTTTTTTCCAAAATTTTCATTCCTCATCACATATGTCTGGCACATAATCAATATATAATAAATCATAATTATAAGCTTCCAGTGGGCATCTAGCACACAGTAAGCACTGAATAAAGTAGTCAAATAATGAAAATGACAATGATAATAACAAGCTCCTGTCTCTACTTTTAATTGTTTGTGCTCTGTAGCATTAGAAAAAATGGCTAGTATCTAAAAGACATTTGATAGTTATCTGTTAAGTGGACAAGTGAAAATGGAAATGTTTTCTTTGTAAATTCTGTTGAAAAAGCACAGAAATGAAATGGAGACAGCTCTATTATGAGCACCTTAAAGATGAAAACTACATCTATTCCATTTTTGTCTCCTGCAACTTATAAAACCTAACTTACAGAAGCTCTTTGATAAATAGATGGCTAAATTAAAGGTGTCCTCATACAGTTTGGACTATACAGTGTATTAGGTGTCTACAATCAGGTAGCATACTAGCATTTTTGTGAGTGTGAAACATTTTTCTACTTTTATGATAATCTGCTGAGCCTAGAGTTGGGCAATTTGCATATTTATTATGACACTCTTTTGGCAAATGGTAGCAGAGCATCTTGTTCTAACAAAATTACTGTTATCATGACAATTAACCAGCAGGTAGAAGAACACATCTTGTTCCAAAAAAGTCAATATATCTCTTTCCAACTTCAAATGAGGAGGAATGAAGTCAGTAATAGTGAGACCTTATTGGGACAAGCATATGTAACATGACCTGTGCTTCAGTGTTCTTTTGTGATCAAAAATTCCTTACTTTTAGTTTTTTATCTATGGTAGAACCACCCAGAGCAGGGGTCCTCAACTCCCAGGCCACAGACTCATACCAGTCCACGGACTATTATGAACCACACCACACAGGAGGAGGTGAGCACTAGGCAAGCCAAGGAAGCTTCACCTGTACTTACAGCCACACCCCATGGCTCATATTACAGCCTGAACTCTGCCTCCACTCAGATCAGTGATAACATTAGAAACTCATTGGAGCACGAACCCTGTTGTGAACTGCCTATCCGAAGGATCTAGGTTGTGTGCTTCGTATGAGAATCTAATGCCAGATGATCTATCATTGTCTCACTTTGCCCCCAGATAAGACCATCTAGTTGCAGAAAAATAAGCTCAGAGCTTCCACTGATTCTACATTATGGTAAGTTGTATAATTATTTCATTATATATTACAATGTAATAATAATATAAAATAGCACAATAAATGTAACATGATTGAATAATTCTGAAACCATCCCCACCTTTCCCCAGCCCATGGAAAGATTGTCTTCCACAAAACCGGTCCCTGGTGCCAAAAAGGTTGGGGAAAACTAACCTAAAGTAATTCACTGTTATAAGTCTTACCTGGATTGCTGTTTTCAGAAGAGACTTTTAGTATCTGTTTTTCTTTGTAGTCAGAAAGTAACTGGCAAATTCTATGTATAAAATTGTAATAAACCAAATTACTATTTTAATACTGATATAAAAAATACTTACCAAATGTGAAATTCTTAACAGTATTTCAAACAATATCAGAATAACAGAACTTAACAGTATTATCCCATCCACTTATGAGTACATTCTGCAAACTTCTCTTTAAGCTTCTAATTAAAGAAGAAAAAAATGTAGGGTGAAATACTCATAAATCGAGGGCATGTGACCCAGTAAATTAGGTTGCATTAACCTGACATAATAGAAAGTGTCCCAACTCTGCATAAGTCCTAGCTCCATAATGAACAGCTATTTGTTCTTGGACAACTTGCTTCTCTTAGGCTCAATGTCTTCTTCAACAAAGTGAGGACTTTGCTGCCTTATTTCCCTAGGTTCCGATAAAAATTTAATGAGATCACATTTTTTAAATGCTGAGAGAAATAGTAAAGCAATGGAATAATCTCTTCCTAAACTTTATGACTAAAATTATCTTGGAATCACAAATAAAACCCAATGCGTATTTTGTTCATAGGTTCTAATATGCAAATGTTGTAGTTTTCAGAAAATGTTATTAAGTCCGAATTTTGCCTCTTAGTTGTCCTACTCTTTATGGCTTATATTTCAGGGCATCTCAACTATGTCATAGTTTGTAACTAAATGTATTCCTAAATATCTCATTAAAGTAGATAATGTGATTGTCCACTATTACGGAGTTGATCAATCACACCAAGGGCAGAAAAACCAATGGATGTTAAGACCTGGTTTGGACCAATGAGCCTTCTCTACAGACTCAAACTCTGAGCCCGCAGATGTTGGTTACAATGATGCTTTATATTGATGTTCAATTCCGGCTGACATGGGAGACCAAAAGTCTACTTTTATTTTTTTTAGTTTCCATGAAGAAGTAGCAAGCTGACATTCTGTCATTTTCGACATACATACTAACAATATATTTTGCACCAAACATGTTATTCAGCTCTAAGTCATCTCATAGACCATCTTACATGACTATTTTTGCAGCGCAAATCACAATTTCAATATTTGGGTGGCACCCATTTCGCTTTGATTCACACTGTTTCCTTAGAGCTAGTCAGCAAATAGTCAAATGACCTTCCAGTGACTGCACAAAATATGGAATGCTTCAAAGATCTGTGCTGCCTCCTTATGCAGAAGCCACGCTAACTTTCTCCGTATTGTTCTAATTTTAGGATATGTGCCGCCGAAGCAAGCACAAAGCCCTACTTTTACACATGCCTAGTGATGCTTCATGGACAAGGCTTGGCTCTGTTGAGTCCAACTAACCTACCTGAGATTCTGAGATTTCTCTTCAATGGCTTCCTGTGAGCTAGAGTTTGAAAATATCTTAAAATCTTGAGCTAGAGATGGAAGTAGCTTGGACGATTTTCATTATCATGTAAATCGGGTCACTCAAGGGGCCAACCACAGCTGGGAGCCACTGCTCAGGGGAAGGTTCATATGGGACTTTCTACTGCCCAAGGTTCTATACAGGATATAAAGGTGCCTCACAGTATAGATCTGGTAGCAAAGAAGAAGAAACAAACACTGATCTCTTTCTGCCACCCCTCTGACCCTTTGGAACTCCTCTGACCCTTTAGAACAAGCCTACCTAATATCTGCTAGAGAAAAGACCAACAACGGCCTCAAAGGATCTCTTACCATGAAGGTCTCAGCTAATTCTTGGCTAAGATGTGGGTTCCACATTAGGTTCTGAATATGGGGGGAAGGGTCAATTTGCTCATTTTGTGTGTGGATAAAGTCAGGATGCCCAGGGGCCAGAGCAGGGGGCTGCTGCTTTGGGAACAATGGCTGAGCATATAACCATAGGTATGGGAACAAAAAACATCAAAGTCACTGTATCAATTGCCATGAAGACTTGAGGGACCTGAATCTACCGATTCATCTTAAGGCAGCAGGACCAGTCTGAGTGGCAACAATGCAGCAGCAGAATCAATGGAAACAACAGAATGATTGCAATGTCCTTTTTTTTCTCCTCCTTCTGACTTGATAAAAGGGACCGTCTTCCTTGGATTTAGTGAACCCCTTTGGTTCCTGAAAAATTCAAGGAGTATCTAGGACATAGTCCCCAGAAGACAGTACAAGACTTTCTGATAAACTGGACATTTCAAGACCCAAATAACTAATCAGAAAAATCAAAGATGTGATACTATTTTTTATCCCATGCATAGGTGCTACACTTGGATCAAATGAACAATGTTGGGATCTCTATGGATAAAGGTCTTAAAAGTCCTGAGATAAAGAATCCTGCACCCACTGGTACTTCTAACTTGTCTTGTTTTTTGTCTGATTTCTGGCTGATGCAGGGGACTAGCTCACTGCCACACGAAAATTACCTGAACTGAACTATGACATCTCACCTGATATGTAAGATGTAACTGTTATAATTATTTTAAACCTCAATTTAGCATTAACTAGCCTTTTAATGTAAACACTTACACATTATGACGACTAGAAACAGCATACTCTCTGGCCGTCTGTCCAGATAGATCTTGAGAAGATACATCAATGTTTTGCTCAAGTAGAAGGCTGACTATACTTGCCGATCCACAACATACAGCAAGTATGAGAGCAGTTCTAAAATGACAGAGATAGGAACAGTAATAAAGTTATTTTAAAAGCTAATTTGATATACTTTACCAATTTAACATCTTGCCTGTCCGTGCAGAATCAAACATTTACATGCACTAAAAGACATAAGCATCTTCAGTGCTCAAGTGTTCATCTTTGTAAAATACCACCAAGGTTGAAAGGAAGGGACAAAAAAAAAAAAACCCTCTTATCTCAGTGGGGTATTGCATAGCAGAAGCTACTAATTTAAAGTCCTTTGATGGACAAGAAACAATATTAGGGCCACTTATCTGAAATGAACAAAGATTTAAGTGAAGATTTCATCACAGCTTCCCTAGACTGATATGCTGTAATAGAAAATCAGCTAGGGGGTAAAATAACTAAGAGCTCTCTGCATGCTGAAAGCAAGTAAGATTAATAATAATGGTAAGAATAGTAGTCACAGGAGTTTCAGTTAATGATGCCAATAAGCATGTGCTAGGCACTGAATTAAATGCCACATATATCTTTCTTATGCACAGCAAACTTTGAAGGATATATTCTCCTACTTTTCATATATGACAACATATTTGGTGGTAAATAACGTTCCCAAGGTCACACACCTAGCAAGTAAGAAAGTTAGGAATTAAAACCAGTATTGTGTGAATCTAAAGCCTAACTTTTTTCTCTTTATCACCCACCTACGGCTTGTCTTCATTAAAGGAAAAGTGTATCCACTTAAAACTATCTTCACTCCCTCTCTCCATACCAATTAAAAATAAAAACATCAAAATACACTGGAAATAAAAAAGGAAAAAAGCTGTTGAACCCACAGTACGTGGGAACAGCAATTAATTGTCATGCAGGGATAAGCTAACATTAATATTCTTCAAAGAAAGCAACTTAAGGCAGAATCATTGAAAAGACAAAAGGATTTTCAACCCCTATTTATGGTTAATACAGCGTATTTAGTGGAAAAGCATGTAAGACACAGGTTAAAAACTATTAGAAAGGGTTAAGAAGTTCAATACTGAGTCATAAAGTAAACTAAAATTAAAGTTCAAACTTCATAAAATATGAAATCCCTTTAGCTAACATAAGATCATGTAACCAAAAACATTACATAGCAAATAACATCAGTCAATATAATAAAAGATGAATCCTACTAAAACTTTTATGTTGCCCAGTCCAAATAATTGTTTTTCTACCGAACTGATTTGTGTTCATACTGATCACTATATCCCAATAAGTATACATTAATCTTATTAATTTAATATTTATGACTTGAGTGACTGCTATCCATCTAGAACACACAGATTAAAAGAAAGAACTATACCTTCCATATCTATCCAGTGCATTTAAATTTGCTTTTTTCTTGATTAAAAATTTCACCACTTGCTGTTTTTGCTCATGTACACCAAGTAACAGTGGTGTGAGGCCATGCTGTAAAACAATATAAAGCAAAAACGTATGTAATTCAAAAAAGTACATATTCCTCAACCGAAGTGGAAACTTTATATAAGATCTTATGGACTTACATGCATAGAAAGTAAATAAAATGTAGTCGCTTCCTTCTCACTCTTCTGTGCTTTCCCACACGCTGCTCCTTCCCTTGGAAACACCCCTTCTCTGCCTCACCACAGTAACTCTACTCATCTCAAAAACTCACTTTAAACATTTACTGCTTCCAAGGCTCTTTGCTTCTAACCCAGCATTTGATATGGTATTATTGGATGGTAATATTTTTCCCATCTAAACAAAGAGCTCCTTGAGGGCAGGGGCTGTATCTTTTGTTTCTATATCCTCAACCCTAAGATAAATTGCGTATAAAGCAAGAATTTGCATGTAAAATATTTCTTTAGTTTCATGTTTTACTGAAAGTTCAACCTCCAACATGCAACAAAAATTGCTATTAAAACTCACACTGCCCATCTGAAAAAATTTTCCAACATTTATTTATTTAAAATCTATTTATATTTAACTTTCCCAGATTGTTACTAAATAATCAGTTCATAGGACTACTGAAACTAAATTAACAGAATTCCTATCTGCATTCTTAATAACTCCATGGTTTTAAGTGTGTAAAACTGCCATGCTGATTATGCCAAAGCTCTACATACTTAAAGAGACACACTGGACAGTCCACAATACAGCTTCAATTGATAAAAAACAGTTTAGAATTTGCTTAATTCCAATTGAGAAAACTCTGCTCTTAATGACTTACTGACCTAAGCACTTGAATGACTGAACAAAGAGACACAAAATCCTGAGAGGGCCATCCTCTACTTATTGAAAGACTGCTCACAGCAAACTACTAAAGACCTTCTGAATGGCAGTGAATAACTGATGGTAGAAAGGAAAATATATTATTCTGTAACCTGATATGTAACCTGATAGATACTACCAATAATATTCATTTTAATGTCTCAACCACAGAGATAAAAGTCAGACTAGGCCAGGAATGGTGGCTCACACCTGTAATCCTAGCACTTTGGGAGGCTGAGGGGGATGAATTGCTTGAGCCCAGGAGTTCAAGACCAGCCTGAGAAACATGGCAAAAACCAAATCTCTACTAAAAAAAAATAAAAATAAAAATAAAAATAAAAAGAAAGAAAGAAAAAAACAACTGAGGTTGAGGTTGGAGGACCATCTGAGCTTCGGGAGGTCGAGGTTGCAGTGAGCTGTGATCACACCACTGCACTCCAGCCTGGGAAACAGAGTGAGACTCAATCTAAAAAAAAAAAAAAAAGTCAGATTAATGTTATTGGAAAGGAAAGATTTAAAGAAATCAGCACATATCCAACTCCAACTCTTCTAGAGATACCTTAAGTTTCTGAGATATAAGAATTTATATATTACATTTATGTATTCAGTGGTTCTTAAGCAGGAGTGTATCCAGATTTTGAGAAAATTGTTGCTGTTGTTATTGTTGCTGTCGTTTTTAGAGACAGGGGCTCATTATGTTGACAAGGCTAGACTCGAACTCCTGAGCTCAAGCAATCCTCCCACCTCAGCCTCCCTAACAGTTGGGACTACAGCCATGCACCAACATGCCTGGCTTCAAGGAAACATTTTTAAATATACATATCCAAGCTTTATTAGACTTACTGTATCAAAATCTTCAGGAATAAGCCTAGACTTGTTGATTATTTAAAAATTTTCCTCAGGTTACTGGGATGCACAATTCTAGCTGAAAGCTAGTACAATAGACAATTACTTCAGTCTCATTTCTCACCACCCAGATAACCAATTCCCTTTCTTATTTGAAGATTTGGCCAAAAAGAGTAAAGAGTAGGAGAGAGACCCATTTGCTGAAAACACCACATAATTTTTCCCGGTAACACAACAGTATCTAGTCAACTCAAAATCCAACTTGATCTTGTTACTCATTTATCTTCCACCTTCCCATCCAGACACTCTAGATTTGAAAGCAGAGCTGAGGCTCTAATTGGCCACTTCTACCAGAAGAGGATACTAAGTCAGTTAATTACTTGATATTCCCCCTGCTCAAGGGTTTCCCCTTACATTACCCACCTATTCACTGCCAATCTGGTTCCTCAGAGGCCTCCTAAAATTCATCTCTAGGCAGTTTACAACCCACTAACTCCCTCTCCCAAACTGAAAACTGTCATTCTCTAAAATCAAAGAGAACTTTGTCTCACCATACAAAGGAAATAAATAAATGAACAACAACAACAACACCACACACACACAACCTCTTCATGGTCTCTTCCCTCTATTGCCTAATTTCCAAATTGGCCCTGATATTTCTGACTGCTCTCTTTTTCCCTTTCCACTTCTGCCTCATGAGCAATCAGAAATATCTTAAGCCTTGCCACTGAGAGGTGCATCACCTCGTATCTATTACTGTTTTTTAGGAACTTGCCAAAGAAGCAGGATCTCTATTCACTGAGACATGTTTAAGTTTTCTTGGAGTTTTCATGTAAAACCTATTTCAGGGCAAATTTTGCCATTTTACATTCATTAGGGGAAAAGAATCCTAGGAGGGAAAAACTGAAAAATAGTAAGTATTACCTTTTACAAATTCAGTGTTTTCAAAAAAAAGTATTTACCGCAAGTGCATTAAAAAAAAAAAAACTGTACCCTCTAATGCTTCTTTGAAAGTAACAATATTTAAAATAAAATCTTAGATAATTAGGTCATTTCAAAATATTTTCATTCAGGTTATGCTTGAGCTTCCAAATATGGAAAACTGGCCCTTACACAGGTCAATGTTAACACGAATGCATTTCAGTATTTTGAAGATAAAATTGGTAGATCTATACCTTGTTTTTTGATTCGATATCAGCACCGTATAAGAGCAGTGCTTTGGCCATTAATTTATCTTCATTGTAGATAGCATAGTGTAGAGCGGTATTTCCATACTCATCTGGAATATTCGGATCAGTGCCATGTTCCAGCAACATTAACGCACATTCATCTTCCTGGCATTGTACGGCCTGTCAGTATTACACCATAAACAAATTACAAATCCTAGGATTTCAAAATAACATTCCACAGCTTTCACCAACTAGTTATATTTAAAGGAGAAAACTCATTTTTATGCTATGTATTGAAATCAAACCCACTTCACGCTGACATAGTTGGCTACTGCATACCTTTGTCAGAGCTGTCCTCTTTTTGTTGTCAAGGATATTAAGTTGACATCGTCTGTCCAGCAGGAGTTTTACTACTTCTGAATTTCCATTGGCAGAGGCCAGATGTAGAGCAGTCCTATGAGGGTGAGAAGACTTTTTAGGAAATTGTAGTGCACTAGCTACAGCCATATCAATGATACACATAATCGCAAACACTGAATAGCCTGCTATTACTGTGCCTTCAAAACAAACATTTAACTTTCCCATGAAAAAAGCACACGATTTATTATCTCTCATTACTCGCTGTATTAATGAAAGAGCAGCCTATATGAATACAAAGAGCATAGCCCTTGGATGACATTCAACTTGGGCTGGAATCCTACTTGAAGCTCTGTCACTTTCTGGCTGTTGCTTAGCCTTTTGGGGTCTCAGTTTCCTCATCAATAAAATAGGAATGAAAATAGTAGCTTTCTCACAGGAAACCACTGTAATGCTTAAATGAGACTCGGCACAAAAGATACAGAATAGTTCCTAACACAAATAACAGCTCAATAATTGTTAGATATTATGATTTTTACTAATACCACTAAAGACAACATTTGAATTAAGTGAGATGATACAATTATACCTACACTTTCAGGTGTGTTTTAAATATTACAGCTAACATTGTATTTTAGTGATTCTGAGATGATCATTGTCTCCATGTTGTCTCCACTGAAATACCACTTACAATTCATGATTTACTATAATTGGCGGCATTTAAATAATTCTCTTATTGAGACATAAAATAATGGGGCATCATACAATCTCTGGTGCCTTACATTAAGTAGAATATGTTATAATGTAACAGGTCTGGGGCGGTTCCAGTCAGATGACCAGCATTTAAATTTTAGTTCTTAAAAGTACTATGGAATAAGAGAGCTGAAGTGAAAACAAAAACAAATTTCTAAAATAAACCAATTCTTACTTTGGTTTTCAATAAACTTTAAGCCAAACAAAACTTGGAATTGAAATGAATAGCATGGGCTCATTTTTTTCAATACTTAGATTTATACAATGTATGTACATCAGATATTTCCAATCATTCATATTAGGATTTAAGACTGTTATAAATTTTCTCTTTTTAAAATGGATTTATGAAACTATTTGTGGAGCTTTTTTCAACTTTTACATTCAGGGGTACATGTGCGGGATGTGCAGGTTTGTTACATAGGTAAACGTGCACCAATGGGGTTGGTTGTACAGATTATTTCATTACCCAGGTGTTAAGCCCAGTACCCGTTCATTCTATTTCCTGCTTCTTTCCCTCCTCCCACCCTCCACCCTCTGATAGGCCCCAGTGTGTGTTGCTTCCCTCTAGGTATCTGTGTGTTGACATCATTTAGCTCCCACCTATAAGTGAGAACATACAGTATTTGGTTTTCTCTTCCTATGTTAGTTTGCTAAGGATAATGGCTTTCAACACCATCCATGTTCCTGCAAAGGACAGGCTCTCGTTCCTTCTTTTATGGCTGCATAGTATTCCATGCTGTTTATGTACCACATTTTAGTTCTTAAAACAACTAAAACAGTCTTTATCCAAGACTTATACATTTTCAAAAGGGCAGTTAAGGGTTGTCTTTTACTATTTTCTACCTTCAGAAATGCTTCTGTTTGAAAGGAGGGAGGAGAAGCTTCAATTGAGATTAAGTCCTAATGCCCCAATTTTAAATCTCTCAGCTTGCTCAAGCCCAGCAGGCAAACATAAATGTTTTCAAAGATGGAAGGATCCTGAGAGATAGTAGAATATGCCTGCCCCATAATAGGTGTCTGGCTTATGTCTGATGACTAAACGGATTGAAAACAATGGATGAACACAGCTTGGGAGTTCAATATTTTTAAAGAAAACTCCTGTAGAGTAGGGCAATACATTTGCAATAGTAATATCATTTATATTTGCTATTTTAATTTTCATAAATATATAACTCAACTAAAATGATTAATTCATACTTTTTACATGTTAATCTATATATAATGAAAAGGTAATTATGTAATAAAATCTATATACAATAAAATCTACAGGAACAGGTAAACACAATCCCTCTACTTCTGAAGAGGGTAAAAGTTCACAGTAGATAGCCAACCACAGAAATAAAAATAAATAATAGAATGTGAGAAATTATTTGCATCTATGCAAGAAGCATATTCCTTCTCTTCCCAAGGATTATGTCATTACTAATGAACCTAAACTAAAAGTTCAGATGTTCATTGCAGAAATCACAGATAAAAGGAAAAACTTCATTTACAAATCCCCAGAAACAAGTTTGATTATATTTTCTACATATTTTCAGCTAACACAAGAGCAGATTCTGTTCGTGTATATGTGTAACAAACTGATTTTTTTCTCACTTGCTATAGCAAGGTACATCTTTGCATGTCGACATATCTCTATGTACTGACACCCTCAATAGTTACATATTATTCCGTCCTATGGATGCACTGAAATTTGTTCATGAAATCTTTATATGGGCTTTTCTAAATACACTGCTATTTTAAGCAATACTAAGAAAAACAGACATCTATTTGGTGAAGATATTTCAGTATAATGGAACTGATGAGTAAAAAGCATAACATTTTTAAAATGTGGTTCTTACCACTAAAGTGCCTGTTTGAAAAGCTGCAGCAACTTAAACTTTAAACAACTATATAAGTACCACTGTTATTCATCCTCATTTGTGGATAGAAAACAGTATTTCATGCTTTTTTTTTTTTTTAGATGGGGTCTCACTCTGTCACCCATGCCGGAATGTAGTGGCACGATCTCGGCTCACTGCAACCTCCACCTCCCTGGTTCAAGCAATTCTCTTGCTTCAGCCTCCTGAGTAGCTGGGATTACAGGTGCATGCTACCATGCGCAGCTAATTCTTTGTATTTTCAGTAGAGATAGGATTTCACCACACTGGCCAGGCTGGTCTCAAACTCCTGACTTCATGATCCACCTGCCTCAGCCTCCTAAAGTGCTGGGGTAACAGGCGTAAGCCACTGCACCTGGCCTTTCATTCCTCCTCTAACTTAAATAGAAAACAGTATTTCATTCCTCTTCTAACTTAAATTCCTTCTTCTACCAGGAATGCTATCTTTTCCTATGCACATAGGTCACTGGTAGATATGCAAAAAAGTACTTTGCCCAATTTTAAAATGTGCTTATTTTATTGCATATATAGGCCAGGCATGGTGGCTCACGCCTGTAACCACAGCACTTTGGGAGGCCAAGGTGGGTGGATCACGAGGACAGGAGTTCAAGACCAGCCTGGCCAAGATGGTGAAACCCCATCTCTACTAAAAATACAAAACAATTAGCCAGGTGTGGTGGCAGGCGCCTGTAATCCCAGCTACTCAGTAGGCTGAAGCAGAGAATTGCTTGAACCTATGAGGCAGAGGTTGCAGTGAGCTGAGATCGCACCACTGCACTCCAGCCTGGGCAACAGAGTGAGACTCCATCAAAAAAAAAAAGAAATTTATATATATATATATATATATATGTATCTGCATATGTAAATAGGCACTTGTGTTTTCTTCTGGTATGTTTCTCTTTTTGTATATTTAAAATTTTTAATCTATACTCTGATTTTTGTGATATAAACATCTAGCTAGTTTTCTCCAAAAATGAATTATGAACAATCCATCTTTTTTAAATAATACAAAACATCACCATTATCAAGCGCTAAATTCCTACATATATTTCGGTATTTCTAAATTTCCTGTTCTGTTTTATTCATTGATGTCTTTTCAGCTGTTAGTAAACAATTTGTGGAAATAAATAACATGCACATTTTGACATCTGGAAAAGCAAGCCTTTGTCCATTCTGCTACAAAAAAATTAACTTAGCACAATAATAAAAGACAGCATGTGTAATTTAAAAACTCTAAAACTGCTATTTTTATTTGGCTTAAGTAAAAGTGATAAATAGAAAAAGCTCACTTTTTTTTTTTTTTTTTTTTGAGACGGAGTCTTGCTCTGTCTCCCAGGCTCTACTACAGTGGCGTGATCTCGGCTCACTGCAAGCTCCGCCTCCCAGGTTCACGCCATTCTCCTGCCTCAGCCTCCTGAGTAGCTGGGACTACAGGTGCCTGCCACCGCGTCCAGCTAATTTTTTTTATATTTTTTAGTAGAGACGGGGTTTCACCGTGTTAGCAAGGATGGTCTCGATCTCCTGACCCCATGATCTGCCCTCCTCAGCCTCCCAAAGTGCTGGGATTACAGGTGTGAGCCACCACGCCCAGCCAAAAAGCTCACATCTTCAGAAAATTCAATCTTCCTATTCAAGCACAAGAACCATCTTCCCATTTCAGTTTCCTTCTAAGATTACTCAGTAAAGAACATATTTACATAGTGTACATTGATATAAAATCCATACTGGATTTTATTTGAAGAATATTTAGCCCTGAAGTTGATGTGTTATGGGGCTTCATTCTTAGTTCTCAATATACACTTTTTTAATGTATAGAACATTGTTTTAAAATCTGTACATTAAAAATAATCTGCTGCATCGACAACGTTGCGAGTTAAATCACTTCAAAACAGTCTATTCGTGTTCTAGGAAGGAAATTATGATTTGATTGGAAATCAGCTAAAGTTTTGTTTTTGTGTTGCTGCTCATAAAGGGGCCTGTGCCCTGAACTCTCTGAGGTTTCCACATCCAGGGTGGTGTGAGGCCTGTGGAGGCAAGAAAACCAGGCTCCCCTCCTCCCCGGCCAGGAGGGTATGTCCCCATCATCCTCCCACATCCCACCTCCTCCCAGCCCAGGCCTGGTTACCTCTTTTGCTTGTCCTTCTTGTTCATGTCAGTGTCCTTGAGCATGACGATGAGATCCTTTCTGGGGACTTTACCCCACCAGGCAGCTCTGTGGAGCTTGTCCAGATCTTCTCGACGGACGTGGTACCTCGGCTCCATGAAAGCGCTGTCGTCGTAGTCTCCCCAAGGGCCCACTTTGTTCTTGCCGCTCCCCCTGCAGCAGGGGAAGCAGTGGCAGCACCACTTGCCCATCTTGCTCCTGAGTGTCTTCATAGCAGAGTCGTCGTGGTCTCCAGAAGTGCCCACGTTGCTCTTGCCGCTCCCCCTGCAGCAGGGGAAGCAGTGGCAGCACCACTTGCCCATCTTGCTCCTGAGTGTCTTCATAGCAGAATCGTCGTGGTCTCCAGAAGTGCCCACGTTGCTCTTGCCGCTCCCCCTGCACCAGGGGAAGCAGTGGCAGCACCACTTGCCCATCTTGCTCCTGAGTGTCTTCATAGCAGAATCGTCGTGGTCTCCAGAAGTGCCCACGTTGCTCTTGCCGCTCCCCCTGCACCAGGCGAAGCAGTGGCGGCACCACTTGCCCATCTTGCTTCTGAGACCAAATGGCTTCTTCACAGAGGAGGCAGCCGGCATTGAACCAGCCTCAGCCACCATCTGCTTTTAACAGCCAGGGAAGGCCGGTAGTAGCCAGCAGATCGCGTCTACCAACCAGTTTCACCAACTGGCAGATAACTCCGGGTTTCTAATCTGTTTGAAGAGAAAAGTCCCGACCAAAACCTGCCAACCCCAGCAGGGGAGCCCAGCCCACCCCACCCAGGGAAAACCCACACCCACCTGGGGAAAGCCCACACCCACGCTGGGCGACCCCACGCCCACCCCAGGAAGGGCCAACCCCACCCCCCAAGAAAACACCCGGCCCACCCAAGGGAATGCCAAACCCAGAAGAGAAAAGGTCAAGTCCAGCAAAGTAACGTGACAGAAAAAACGTCAGTCCAAGGAAGAAATGTCAATCCAAGCGACAAATGCCAAGCCAAGCAAAGAACGCAAAGCCAAGCCAAGCGCTACAGGCCAGCCAAGCCGTTACGCACGTGCAGTGTGCGCATGCCGACTGTTACAGACCAGCCAAGCCGTTAACGCGCGTGCAGCATGCGCGTGCAAGCCATTACAGGCCAGCCAAGCCATTACGCACGTGCGGCATGCGCGTGCAAGCAGTTACAGGCCAGCCAAACCGTTATACGCGTCCGGCGTGCGCGCACGGCATGCACGTGCAAGCCCTTACAAGCCAGCCAAGCCACTGCCACGCGTGTGGCGTGCGCGCGCGGCATGCACGTGCAAGCCGTTACAAGCCAGCCAAGCCACTGCCGCGCGTGCGGCGTGCGCGTGCGGCGTGCGCGTGCGGCGTGCGCGTGCGGCGTGCGCGTGCGGCGTGCGCGTGCGGCGTGCGCGTGCGGCGTGCGCGTGCGGCGTGCGCATCTCTGGTGGTGTCAGTACACGTGGCACAGACAGTTGCGGATGCGTGCAACCTGCATAAGTCTTGGAACCACAAATGTCACTGACAGCCTGGTGTTCCCGGCAAACTTCCTGGGAGTCAGCCGAGCTTTCAGGCCATTGAGAAGCCTCTGGTGAAAGAAAAAGCTTCTTGAAGCAGGACTGGGGCTAAGTGGCTGGAACTTGAGGATGCTGACAGCCTCCTCTGAAGAAAGCCCCCAGGACACTCCTGGTGGTGCTGTTGTGCATGGCCGCTGCTGCAGCTCAGAGCACCGGCTGGCGGAGCTGGCTGCAAATGGCCTCAAAATCACGGAGCATGTTCTCACTCACAGGTGGGAATGGAACGAGAACACACGGACACAGGAAGGGGAACATCACACACCGGGGACTGTTGTGTGGGGGGAGGGGGGAGGGATAGCATTAGGAGATATACCTAATGCTAAATGACGAGTTAATGGGTGCAGCACACCAACATGGCACATGTATACATATGTAACAAACCTGCACGTTATGCACATGTACCCTAAAACTTAAAGTATAATAATAATAAAATTTGAAAAAAAAAATCATGGAGCACAAGACGCCCACCGAGCCCAGCACCTGCCTGAGGTGCCTTCGATACCTGCTCCTCCTTGCTCCACACCCAGAACACGAGGCCATCAGCGAGGGGGCATTTGGGGCCACAGGATCGCAGCCAGCTCCTGCCCCGGTGCCCCCTGCCTGTCCAAGCCAGGGCCAACATCTGTGGGGCTTCTGGCCTGGGGGGCTCTGCTCCACTGGCATGCAATAGGGTCAAGGTGCAGGCCGCTGTGTCCAGGCCAGCAAGAGGGGGCTTGGAGGAGCACCTACCACTGATGGGGAGATGCAGAAAGGCAACCCCATGTGCAGATCCTGAGAAAAAGACACTGAGCCTCCCTGGTGCTGGCCTCTGAGCTGGACCAGGGCAGTGGCACTTCAACGCTCCTGCCAGGACTCTCCTGCTGCAAAGCTTTATGCAGCCAGGCTCCAGTCTGCTTCACCCAAACCACAGGTGCTTTGGTGTGGGAGGAAAAATGGATTCTGAGCCTGGACACCAACCTGCTCTTACCAAAAGAAGTAGAGGAAAAGCCAATCACAAGTGCAAAAAAAAAAAAAGGTACTATTTTGTAAGTGAAATCTTGCCTGATATGCAGGGTTAAGCTAAAGCTCCTCTTGCTTGATACTAAATTAAATTTTGAATGAAACAAAAAGAAGACACACACACTAAATTTCCTTGTTCCTCTGTGATCCCCTGAGCCAGGAAGCAAGAGGAAGCCTGGCCTCCTGGACTCTCCCCCCAGCTGGGGGGCTGAGCAATTTCCTCCAGGCTCACAGGGAGCAGCTGGGCTCAGTGGGGCCACATTGCCCTTCCTTCCTACATGGGCATCCTCAAACCTTCCATTGCCCCATACAGAGTGCCATGATCCGGGTTCAAATCCCAGCTCCGGCACTCGCCACCTGTGTCACCTGGCAAATGCCTTACCCCCAGACGCTTGCTGTCTGTGTCCTTCCTGACAGGAGGGATGGGAGCTGGTGGCCCTGGCATGAGGTGCTGTAACAGTCAAACACAAGCAGGAGCAGGTAGACACCTGGGTGGGGGACTGCCCTGCTGGGGGTGCTCAACAAAGAGTACCTACCCATCTGCCCACGTGGCCTTGCACATCTCAACACTTATCAGGCACCTGACTATGGGAAATCCCTAAACAAAGCCCTGAGCTGCCCTGGGGAATGTGACCAGGGCAATGCACCAGGAAGGACAGTCTGGGGTGCTTGGCATGAGTAAGGATAGGCTGGGGAAATGCCAACCTCTTCCCACCAGCTTTGTGTCCCAGGGCACCCTCAGTGGACAGAGAACCCAGAGATGCCACAAGGCTTGAGCTGCATCCTAACCATCCTGAGTTCCGGCCCAGCCATGGTCCAGGCCCGAAGGTACTTTGGGTGCTAAGTTGGGATGACGAGGGGCCAGGTGAGACACTCCTGTGTTCCAGGATCTGGTCAAGAAGGTGGTAGCCTGTCACTGCCTGGCTCCATCTGGTCCCAGTGGAACAAGAAGGGCAGGAAGCCTCTAGCACCCACCCTCTGGGCCACCAACACCCAGGTCCACAGTGTGGCCACCTGAGTCAGCATCACCTGCCTTGGGGACCAGAACATGAAGGCCCAGATATGACGAGCATAGTGCAGCAATGGATGCAGGTGGGCAAGATGTGCTGTGTGGATCCAAGGAGCCCCTCTCTGGAGGCTTGGGCATAACCTCTCCATCTTACTGACACATAATATTTTACCTCTTTGTAGGGTACATACAAATACTTGTTACATGCATAAAATGTGTATTTTGGTTACTTTGAATATTTACACATAATAATATTACTTAGCCACCACAGCCTGCTGTCAAACATTACAGCCTATTTCTTCTAAATGTAGGTTTGTACCCAATAGCCAACTTCTCTTCATTCTCCCTTCCACATACCCAGTCTTCCCGGCCTCTGGTACTGCCATTGTATTCTCTTTGTCCATGGGATCAAGTTTCTTTAGCTCCCACGTGAGTGAGAACCTACACAACTCCAGAATCGTTATTAAAATCAGGAATTATTGTTATTATTTTTTGAGACGGGCTGTCACCCAGGCTGGAATGCAGTGGTGCAATCTTGTCTAACTGCAGCCTCAACCTCCCAGGTTCAAGCAATCCTCCCACCTCAGCCTTCTGAGTAGCTGGGACTACAGGGGCGTGCTACCATGACTGGCCAAGTTCTGTATTTTTGGTAGAGATAAGGGGTCTCACCATGTTGCCCAGGCTGGTCTCCCACTCCCAGTCTCAAGTGATCCTCCTGCCTCAGGCTCCCAAAGTGCTAGGATTACAGGCCTGAGCCACCATACCTGGCCTGATCCCAGTTTTAGAAAAACTCTGTAACTAAATTTAGATGAAAATATATGAATCTGTCCAGTGATTGCTTTCACATTTTCTAAACTGTGCTTTTTTTATATCATCGAGAATCTTCCATAAATGTACTTTGGTTTGAAATATTTTCTTGAAGTCAGACATATTTAGCTGTGACGTGGAACAGTTCTTCTCACAGCATCCCCTCCCTGCAAACTGCAGGTCCTGAGGTCAGTGGCCCTTGACTCTATGGACTCTATATTCTTCCCTGGATCCAGACCCTAACTCAGGGGACAGCGGCACCGCCTCCTGCCCGGCTCTCGGCTGCCTGCACTGCTCGTCATGGTGACAGGATGGCCTGCCCCAGATGAGTGTCAGTGTGTGTGTGCGTGTGTGTGTGTGTGTGTGTGCTTTTGCTGCATTTCTTCTGTCTTGCTTTTGTCATCTCTCTTTCTCCCTCTCCTCCCTGAGGCCTGCACAGGGCAGCTGTGCTATCCACTTCTGAATGTGGGGTAAGCTGTGGCCCAGGCCTGGGTGCCTGCTGGGACCTCTCAGGAGATGTGTGGGAGCAGACAGCAGGTGGGCTCAGACACTCTAATGGGCACTTGTGCCTTGTTCTGTCCCTGTCATTTGAGGCCATTTTGGCCAATGGGAAAGCAGACCCCTCTGGCAGAAAAAGGTCCACTTTGACTCAGGCTGGGGTGGTAACTCTGCCTGCAGGTTGGACCTGTGGGTCTCATCGTGAACCCCCACGGGTGACTGGCACTGGGAGAAGTAGAGGACGTGTGGGTTCTGCCTGCTGTCTTCACGTGTGGAGACAGGGTCCTGCCAACCGGTCTCCTGGAGGGGGCGTTGCCTCCTGTGGGTGCCATGTGTGCCAGAATCCAAGCATGGGTGTACACAGGGGCTGAGCCCACTCACAACCCAGGACAAAGTTGCTTGGCTGTTTTGGGGCTGGGAGATCTCGAAAAGCCTACCAAACCCAGCATCATCAGTGGCTCTCCCACACTCAATGCCTTGGTCTTTCTGCTTTTTTGGCCGTCACATTGGCACATTTCTTGGTGCCACCAAAACAACTCAAAATAATCTCTTTTCAGTCATGCCTGAATAACATAACCGGCTTCAGGTTTCCTGAAAACAGAGAAAGTGAAAATCCAGAAAAAATGGCTGTTTTCTTCCTCTGACGGTCCAGCCTGTCTTCAACCACAGGACTCCACGCTGGCCTGGGGTCTGAGTCTCCTGCATTAGTCACTGTCTAGCTTTGACCAAAACCATGAGCAACTGAAGCAGAATATGAACGTGGAAAATGTTCTGGGTTGTCCCCATGTTGGGAAATTATTGTCCAACAAATGAGTAGCTGTCCAAAGCACTGCAAGACAACTAGTGTGCCTCGGAGCTTGTCAGAGGAAGCGTTCAAGAGTGCTTTCTCTGTCTCATTCAGCAAGTCTCACTTCCTTTTTATGTTCTAAATCAGAATGTTCTAAATCAGAACATAGAATCACGGGCCAGGCTTGCAAGAAGCAAACATTAACTTCTATCGACATGTACTTAGCCAGGGCTCATTTGAATGGCCATATGCAGCAGCAAAGAGGCTGGAAAGGAGTGTAATGGTGTGACTAGTGGAAAGAGGAGACACGTTTGTTGTTCTTCACCCCATGTATACTAAGGATGTTTTTAGAAAAAAAAATTTTTTTTTTGCTCAAGCACAGTTTATGCAACAAAATGTGATTCAGAATCTAATTTCACAAAATAAATCCAGAGGAGAGACTTGAGGGAAAAGGGCAAAGATGTAACTCAATAAAGTCCATAGCATCACAGAATAGGATGATGGTGATGGTTTCTAACCTTGAGAATGTCTAAGTGGGTTCTTCAGTTTCTAAAATTTATTTATCTGTTCTTGAACCCAAGAAATCAGAATAGATCGTAACAGAAAAAAAATGACCTAGCTTTCACCTAGACAAGTTAGAAAATGCAGAAGTAGCCTGGCAGAAGTACAACCATCTGACCTTTGACAAAACCACAGAAATAAGAAAGAAAAGGCTCACTATGCGATGAATGGCACTGGGATACATGACTAGCCATGTGCGGGACAATTAACACTGCAGCCCTGCTTGTCATCATATGGAAAATTAACTCAAGATGAACCAAAGACTGAAATAGAAGACTTCAAATATAAAAGTCCTAACAGACAACCTATTAAACACCTTTCTCAACATAGGCTTTTGCAAACCACTTAAGACAATTTAGTACCCAAAAGAAATGCAAGAAAAAACAAAAAGTACAAGTCTGGCCTAAGAAACTACGGACCTGCTGCACAGCAAAGCAATTGCCAACACAGTAAACACATAGCCTACATGATGGGAGAAAATGTTCCCAAACCAAGCATCTGACCAAGTTCTAACAGCCAGAATCTAGAGGACCTTACCTAAATCAAGAAGCAGAAAAATAACACAAGTAAAAAATGGGCAAATGATACAAACACACTAGTCAAAACAAGACCTAAAAAAGACCAACAGACACGAGAAAATGCTCAACATCACTAATCATCAGAGATGAGGTACCAGTGCCATCACACACCAGTCAGAATGGCCATTTGTCCAAACACAAAACATATTTGTGTAGCAGTACATAAAAGCGAAAACAGCTACACTCTTGGGGTAATGCAAACTAGGTCTCACACTGCGGAGAGCAGTTTCAAGATTCCTCAACAACAACAACGAAGAGGGAAAGGAAGCAGAGCTACCCTTCTACCCAGCAATCCAACCCTGTGTATCTACCCCAGGGAAAAATACATGTGTCTATCAAAAAGACACACACATTTGCATGTTCATGGGAGTGCTACTCACAGGAATAAAGACGTGGACCTGACCTAGATGCCCACCAACAGAAAATCAGGTGTTTTTAAATGTGATACCTATACACCACAGAATACTAAGAAGCCACCAAGGAAAATCAAACACAGAAACAAAATCATGCCCTCAGCAGCAACATAGATAGAACTGCAGGCCACTCTGCTAAGCGAACTCAGGCAAGAACAAAAGACCAAACACCACAGATTTTCACTTACAGGCAGAAACTCAACACTGAACACACACGAACATAAAGATGAAATCAACAGACGTTGGGTACTACCAGACAGAAAAAGGAGGGAGACAGGAAGCCTTGGAGGAAGAATGATCCAACTGGTGCTGTGTTCACTGCCTGGGTGACGGGTAAGTTGGGACCTCAAGCATCAAAAGTCTGCTGTATAGCCATGTAGTGAAATGAACCTGCAGGCATACACCCCTCCATCACAATAAAAGTAGCTATCATTTTAGAAAACCCAGCTTTGGAAATGGAAATGGAAAAAAAGGAAAAAAATACAAGAAAACACACAAAACAAAAGAAAAAGCCTACAGTGGCCCAATCCATCCATTAGTGGCATGAACACAGAAAGATAACCGAATGGACACAACAAAGGAGCCAAATAATCAACCCACAATTATAAACACTGAATCCATGGGATTCTTGCTTTTCCCCCAAAAGCACACCAAAGGCACAATGGTTGAACAAACTGGGGGGTTCATGTGCAAAGGACTGAAATAAACCCTTCTCTTACACAAGACACAAAAAATGACACAAAATCCACTGAACACCAAAGAGCAATTGTGAAACCAAAACCTCCAAGGAAAACGCATAGGGTGTGTGTCTACTGTGGGGAAACTTGAACCTGTGAACCTAAGCTACAAACAGAAAACACATAGGAATCAACTACCCGTAGACCATACAATGGCTTTGCCATCTCGCTTTACTTCTCAAAGGGACACAGAAATCACCGCTAACAAAAGCTCATGTGACCACGTGAGACTAAGGACAACTTCAGAGCTTCACACAGCTTCAACACTGGAGAGAAAACAGTGAACCCAACAGAAGACATCCCACAGACTGGGAGAAAATTATGGAAAACTGTGGATCTGGAAGGGCTTCTTATCTAACATATTCAAGAAACTAATGGTCCTAAGTGGAAAAAATCATAAAAAACAATACATACACTAAAAATGCCCAAAGGACTGGCATAGGCATTTCTGAAAAGACCTGAAACAGACTTGCAGGTAACAGAAGTTTCTCCACATCAGTAATCATCCCCTAAATGTAAATCCCAACCACACTCAGATACTGCCAAACTCCCCAGAGAACGAGTATGACCAGGAACAGCAATAAAACTTTTTGAAGATAAGGGCAGTGTAGATTTGCAGACAGAGAAACTCTCACACACTATTGGTAGGAATGCAAATTTGTATATCCACTGGGAGAGACAGCAGGAGGTTTCTGAAACGACAATACAACTACCAGTTCCTCTAGCCATCCCAACATTGGGTATACCGGCAAAGCCAAGGAAACTTGAAACTTAAGGAGATATTTGCCTTCCCATGTTTGATGAAGTACTCTGGACAATAACCAGGGTATAGAGGTAATCTACCTGTCCATCCATGGAGGAAGAAATGCAGGAAATGAAGGACGCAAGCACAATGGTATACTCTTCAGCCATCAAACTTCTGGATATCAGGTCACTTCCAGCAAGGTGGAGAAACCTGAAGG
Source organism: Homo sapiens (assembly GCF_000001405.40). Classification (NCBI taxonomy): domain Eukaryota; kingdom Metazoa; phylum Chordata; class Mammalia; order Primates; family Hominidae; genus Homo; species Homo sapiens. The sequence continues at coordinate 15,681,772 of NC_000022.11, read as the reverse complement.
ACATTAAGTTAAAGGAAATGAGCCAGGCACAGGAGGACAAACACAAACACAGCACAATCTCACGCACGTGGAATCTAACGAAGTGAATCTCATAGAGGAGCAACGTCAGCAGTGCGTACCAGAGGCTGAGGGGAGGCTTGGAAACAGCTACAAAGTGACACTCAGATGAATGGCAAGAATTCTGGTGTTCTACGGCTTAGCAGGGTGACTAGGCTTAACAATACCCTAGCATGATATTCGATATAGCGTGAAGGGGTGATCGGGGTACGCTCTCCACCAAGAAATCCTCACTGTAGCCTGAAACAAAGACGCGAGTTCCTGTAATCTGATCACAACAGCACTGATCCATATGTCAAACGGTCCCTTGCACCCTTAAAGTAAAAGCATAGACCATGTGAAATTTTTGTTTTCAAATAGGATCACATCACATTTCTGAAAGTCCTGTGGGACAACGAAGTGCCCCGCACTCCCAAAGCAGCTCCTACACACATAAAGTCGGTGGAGCGCCATTACACTCTTCCACTTTAAACTACTTCCCAAAGCTTTAGTTACCCAGATTCCTACACACACAAAGTCAGTGGAGCGCCATCACACTCTTCCACTTTAAACTACTTCCCAAAGCTTTAGTTACCCAGATTCCTACACACATAAAGTCAGTGGAGCGCCATCACACTCTTCCACTTTAAACTACTTCCCAAAGCTTTAGTTACCCAGATTCCTACACATACAAAGTCAGTGGACCATCACACTCTTCCACTTTAACCTACTTCCCAAAGCTTTAGTTACCCAGATTCCTACACACACAAAGTCGGTGGAGCCATAACACTCTTCCACTTTAAACTACTTCCCAAAACTTTAGTTACCCAGATGATTTGTGATAGGCATTAGCAGAGAAACACAGGCCAACGGACACAATGAGGATGCCCAGGAGTAAATTCAAATTGATATAGCGTAAGCACATGTTTAGAAAGAACCGCAAAAGTCACCACAGGAATGGAGAGTCTGTCCAATACAGCGTTCTGAGAACTGGATATCCCTAGGCAAAATAACAACATAGGGTCCTTATTGTGTGAAATTCACAACCATCTATTCAACATGAATGAAAGACCTATACCCAAAACTTGAAACTATCACTCTCTGAGAAGAAAGTATATGGTGTGCAGATACCTGGGTCAACCTGGATCTATGCTTACAGTTTGCAAAAACGAAAACGAAAAAATATGGAGGAAAGAAAAGAATACAAACAACAAACAAGCAAAACTCACAACAGATTCGTATGCTAGTGAATTTCCTTTATTTCATCAGTAACCAACGTGGTGGAAAACCACAACACTGCACACCCCTGAATACGCATCAGACTCATCAGACTATATGGCTTGGGGGCAAGAAAGAACGAAAACAATGAATGAAAAGAAACAAACATCCAAAGGATGATAAGAAAGATATCAGGGAAAACACAGCTAAGGAGACTTTTGGAAAAGGTGTAAGTAACTAACACTACTAACTAGCAGAAAACAGCAGAAAAGAGAAGGTAATTAGCAAACCAAAATTGGGCAAAGAAACCAAAGAGTCTTTTCTGCAAAGAACACACAACACTGAAAACAAATGTACTTGTTAACACCTAGTTAGTATCACTAATCATAAGAAAAATGAAAATCAGAACAAGACTCAGATATCGTGTCCCTCTCAAAGGAAAGAGTATTACAAAGAACTTCATATATATTAAAAGAAGGGAAACCACAAATGCTGCTGTGAATTTCCAGAGAGGGGAGCTCTCTTATCCACAACTGTTGGCAAGGTAAATTAGTACGCACACTACAGAGGCCACCTGGAGGCTCCTCTTAAAACTAAAAATACAACGACCATTTCACCGAGCCACGCTACCGCAGGGTGTGCACTGGAATCATATGTCATCAGTACACAGAAGACACATCTGCCTTCCCATGCTGACTCTGGAACCAGTCGCAATAGCCAAGATAAGGAATCAACCTACCTGTCCACCTGCAGAGGATGAGATCCAGAAACCGCAATATCCATTCACAAACAAACACTTTTCAGCCATACACAGGTACTGAAATCACGTCATCTGTGGCAACACTGTGGAACCTGGAGGACATTATGTTAAATGTCTGTCACTAGGCAGAGAAAGACAAACCTCACATTACCTCAGTCATGGGGAATCTAAGACCCTTTAATCTCACATAGACCTACAAAGCACCATAGTGCTTGCCAGGGTTGGAACAGAAGGCTGGGCATGGGTGGGGACAGGAAACAGGTACAAAGTGACACATTGCATAAGAGAAATGGAAACCTGCTGTTCTATTCCTCAGCAGGGTGACTAGAGAAAACTTTACCAGAGGATAGTTTTCAAGACAGCCAGAAAGAAGGGTTCTGGCTCTCCTCAACTCAAAGACAGGAACACTCTACAAGGCCAAAAACGACACTATATACCCTGATTTCATCACTATGTGATGCATGCATGGATCCAAATATTCCACTCTACCCCCTACCTGTACACCTTTAGGATGGGGTCGATTTTGTTTTTTGAAAGCAATGTGAAGAAACAATGAATGCTAAAATTCCCATGGGACCACAAAATGCTCTGAAACTCCAAAGCCAGGCTGGGAGATTCAGACGATGTCAGATGGACCACACTCTCCAATTTCAAATTTCACAGAAAAGCTACAGACCCACCTCCACCTAGACAGAATAGGAAACCCAGAAGCAACCCCACATACCCACAACCATCTGACCTTTGAAACACCAAAATTCAGATGTGGAAAGGGCTCACTGTGCAATGAATGGCACTGGGATAGTGTCTAGCCACTTGCAGATGAACAGCACTACAGCCTTACCTCTCACAAGATGCAAAAACTAACTCAAGGTGAATGAAAGATTTCAGCAGAAGACTACAAACTATACAAGTCCTACAAGAAAAACTAGGAAATACCTTTCTCAACATGGGCTTTGGTAAAGAATTTAAATAACTTAGTCCCTAAGAGCAACGGCAAGAAAAACCAAAATGGACAAGTTGGGCCTAAGAAACTAAAACACTGCCAGACAGCAAAATAAATCACCAGCACAGTAAAAACATAGCCTACAGGATGGGAGAAAATGTTCCCAAACTATGCTTCTGACCAAGACCTAATAGCCAGACTCTAACGTGACCTTAAAAAAATCAAGAGGCAGAAAGACAAATAAGCCAATCAAACAATGGGTAAAAGACATGAAGACGTTCTTGTAAAAATAAGATGTACAAGTGACCAATAGACAAAAAAAACCCTCAACATCACTCATCATCAGAGAAATGCAACTCACACACACACTGAGATACCATCTCCCGTCGGTCAGAATGGCCATTTGTCCAAAGTCCAACATTTACATGCTGACAAGGCAGCGGAGGAAAGCAAACACTGCTACACTCTTGGAGGGAATAAAAACTAGTTCTCACACTATGAGAAGCGGTTTGGAGGTTCCTCAAAAAACTTAACAACTACCATCCAAATGGGCAATCGCATAACTGGGTATCTAGACAGAGGAAACTAAATCATAAACCCTTCTTTCAAAATGACACAGACATGGGTATGTTCTTGGTAGTGCTATTCACAAGAAAAAATAAAATAAAATTGACCTATGTTCCCTTTAACAGTTGATTCGATGTTTTAAAGTGTTGTATATAGATACTGCAAAATCCTACACAGCTTAAACAAATTCATGCTCTCGGCAGCAAGAAGGATGAACCTGCAGGCCACTATGCTAAGCAAACTAAGGAAAGAACAGAAAACCAAATACCACATGTTCTCACTTAGGGGGAAAATACCCATAGAAAATACAATGACTTTGCCATCTCTTTCTCTCTCACTTTCTCTCTCTCTCTCTCTCTCACTCTCTCTCTCTCTCTCTCATGAGACACAGAAATCCATGCTGACAAAAGCAAATATAAACCTGTGAGACCAACACTTTAGAGCTTCCGCATGTGGGAGAAAACAATGACCCCAAAGAGAAAGCATCCTACCTTGGCGGAAAGGATGATTGGGGGAAAACTGTGGAAAATCATAATTTTGGAAAGGGTTGTTATCTAACATATTCAAGCACTAAAGCTACTAAGTGGGGAAAAGATTAAAAAAAAATACACGAGCTAAAAATATGCAAAGGATATACACAACCACCTCTGCAAAGGACATGAAACTGATTCACAGGTGAAACAGAAGTTTCTCCACATCACTAATCACTCCAAACATGTAAGTCAGAATCACACTCCGATATCAGATACCATCAAACTCCACTGAGAATGAATATTACCCAAACAGCAATAAAAATTTTGGACGGCAGCAACCAGTGTAGACTTACAGAAAGGGAAACTCATATATGCTATTGATGTCGATGTAAATTGGTGAACATACTGTGAAAAAAACTTGGGAGCTTCTCATACTGGGTATGCATTTAAAGCAAAGGCAACTGGTACCATAAAAAATTATCTGCCTTCCCATGTTTTATGAAGCGCTATTCACAATATAGAAGATATGGAATGAACCTACCTATCCAACCACACATCAAGAGATGAAGACACTGCAGTGTATCTGCACAATGCAATAATACTCTTCATCCTTAACAAAATAATGTAATTTTCATTTGGAGCCATATGGATGAACCTGGAAAATATATTGTTAAATAAAATAAGCCTGGCATAGAAAAACAAGCAAATTCATCTCACTTATATGGAATCCAAAAAACTTTGCCTTCAATAAGTACAAGGTACAGTAGTGGTTTTCCGAAGACAGGGGAAGGAGGAGATGGAAGGATTGGTTATGGAAACAAAGTTGCAGTTAGTTGGGACAAACACATTCTTGCATTCTATACCACAGCTGGGTGACTCTGGTTAACAAAATAGTACATTTTTCAATAAAGCTAGAAGGGAGCAATTTGAGTGTTATCACAACAGAGAAATAATACCTGTATGAGAACAGATACAGCAAGTACCCTGATTTGATCATTACTAAAAATATACATGTACCAAAATGTCCCAGAGGAAAAACAGTCCCAGCATACTCTCTAATTATATACTTTATTACGCACAGAAATTTAAGAAATGTGAATACGCAATGCTAATGATCACATGGAAATGGCCCTGAATGTCTAAGGAATCCTGAGAAATAGAAACTAAGTTGGAGGACTCACAATCCCTGATATGCCGCAGTGCTCCAGCCTGGGTAAGAGAATGAGACTCTGTGTCAAAAAAAAATTGTTAGAAAATTTGAGGGAATCATAGAAGTGATAAATTGTTGTTACCAAACATGTACACAGAAAAAAGCAATACTAAGTAGCATAAAAATACATATCTGAACTCATATTGAGCAAAAAACTTGAATAGAGTTATCTGCAAAGATGACATAAAACTAACAGGTAAGAGAAAAGGTCCTCAACATCACTGTTCATCAAAAAAAAGTACTTCAAAACCACACTCAGATGTCATTTCACTCTTATTGAAATGAATGTTACTAAAAAGATCAAAAAAATTTTTTTGAGACAGGGACTCTGTCACTCAGGCTGGAGTGCAGTGGCATGATCATGGCTCACTGCAGCCTTGACCTCTCCGGCACAAGTGATCCTCCCACCTCTGCCTCCTGAATAGCTGGAACTACAGGCACACACCACCACGCCTGGCTAATTTTTTTGTATTTTTTTGTAGAAATGAAGTTTTGCCACGTTGCCTAGGCTGGTCTCAAATTGTTTGGCTCAAGTGATCTGCCCACCTTGGCCTCCCAAAGTGCTTGGATTACAGGCATGAACCATCACGCCTGGCCATAAAAAAACATGCATGGCTACATCAAAGTGAAAACTTTTTGCAAGGAAAAGGAAACAATGAGCCCAAAGAGGAAGGCTGGGAGAACAAATCACATATCGGCTAATGGGGGTTGTTATGGAAAATATGCAACACATTAATAGTACTAAGTAGCAACAACAAACAAATGATCCATCCAAAACTGAGCAGGGAACCTGAATAGGCATTTCTGCAAAGAAGACATTAAACCACATGGAAGGGCGCTTCCTCCACAGTCAGGTGGCCGTGACTAGATGGACAGAGTTAGGCAGACGCTGTGGGGGGTGGGGGGTGTTGAGAAAAGTGACCCCTATGTCCCGACGGCTGGGAAACAAATGTAAAAGTTCAGTAGACCACCTGCAGTAGTTCATGCCTGTAATCCCGGCACTTTGGGAAGCTGAGGCGAGAGGACTGCTTTGAGCTCAGAAGTTTGAGACCAGCCTGGGCAACATGGCGAAACACTGCCTCTACCAAAAATACAAGAAAAACAAAATTCAGCAGACCAGGCACAGTAGTTCACACCTGTAATCCCAGCACTTAGGGAAGCCGAAGTGGAAGGATTGCTTTGAGTTCAGAAGTTCAAGATAAGCCTGGGTAACATGGCGAAACCCCGTGGCCAGCAAAAATATGAAAAAAAAAAAATAGCTGGGCATGGTGGCACAAGCCCAGCTAATGGGGAGACTGAGGCTGGAGAATCCCTTGAGCCCAGAAAGTGGAGGCTGCAGTGAGCTGAGATCTGCCACTGCACTCCAGGATGCACAACAGGGCCAGACCCTATCTCCAAAAAAATAAAACCAATTAAAAAATCAGCAAACCCTGGAGGTGGCTGGGATCCTTTCCTTCCACCTGAGGCTTGGATGCAAGGCAGCCAAACTGGGGCCTGGTCCCAAAACCCCACCTAGGCCGGGCTTCCTCTTCCTCCCACAGCCAGAGCTTTCCTCTCTCTCCATCTACATGGGGAGTCTCCCTCAGAAACAGCCCTAAAGCCTCCTACTCTTTCCAACCTCAAAAGCCCTCAGGGACTGAGTACTACTATAAAATTCATACTAAGATGGAAAGAAAGAAAAAAGGAAGACCCATCAGGAATACATAGAACATTCCAGAAAACGAAAGCTTCTGTACTCACCATGATGGAAGAACTCCCCGAAGAAGCCAGCCGCAGAGAAGCCACACCAAAGCTCTGTCCTCAGCCGTCAGCGCCACGGACAGGAGGTGTTTCTTCCCCAGGATGCAGCCTCAAGTTATCCCGAAGCTGCCGTGGCACACGGTGGCTCCTGAGAACACCTTGGCTCTTCCGGTTTAACACAGGCAAGTCAATAAGTGTGATAATCACATAAACAGAATTAAAAGCAAAGTCACATAATCATCTCAATAAACACAGAAAAGGCATTTGACAAAATCCAGCATCCATTTATAATTAAAACCCTCAGCAAAAAATGCACAGAAGGGACATAGCTTCAGGTAATAAAAACCATCTGTGACAAACCCACAGCCAACATAATACTAAATGGGGAAAGGTTAGAAGCATTTCCTCTGAGAACTGGAACAATAAATACAAGGATGCCCACTCTCACCACTTCTATTCAACATAGCACTGACAGGCCCAGCCAGAGCAATCAAATGAGAGAAAGAAATAAAGGGCATCCAGATCGGTAAATAGGAAGTCAAATTGTCACTGTTTGCTGATGACATGATTGTATACCTAGAGACTCCTCCAAAAAGCTCCTAAACTGATAAATAATTTCAGCAAAAATTCAGGATACAAAATTAATGTACCCAAATCAATAGATCTGCTATACACCAATGATGTGCAAGCTGAGAATCAGATCAAGAATTCAATCCCTTTTACAATACCTGCAAAAAAATAAAATAAAACACTTAGGAATATACCTAACAAGGAAGTATAAAAGACCTCTACAAAGAAAACTACAAAACACTGCTGAAAGAAATCACAGATGACACAAACAAATGGAAACACCTCTCATGCTCATAGATGGGTAAAATCAATATTGTAAAAATGACCATAACGCCAAAAGCAGTTTACAATTTGAAAGCAATTTCCATCAAAATATCACCATCATTCTTCACAGAACTAGAAAAGATAATTCGAAAATTCATATGGAACCAAAAAAGAGCCTGCATAGCCAAAGCAAGCCTAAGCAGAAAGAACAGATCTGGAGGCATTACATTACCTGGCTTCAATCTATACTACAAGGCCATAGTTAGCAAAACAGTATAATACTGGTATAAAAATAAGGACATAGACCAATGAAACAGAATAGAGAACCCAGAAATAAACCCAAATACTTACAGCCAACTGGTCTTTGACAAAGCAAACAAAAACAAAGTGGGGAAAGGACACCTTATTCAACATATGGTGCTTGGAAAACTGGCAAACCACATGCCAAAAAATGAAACTGGATCCCCATCTCTTACCTTATACAAAAGTCAACTTAAATCTGAGACCTGAAACCATAAAAATTCTATAAGATAACATTGGAAAAACCCTTCTACACATTGGCTTGGGCAAAGACTTCATGACCAAGAACCCAAAAGCAAGCACGACAACAAAATGAAGATAAACAGGTGAGACTTAATTAATCCACAAAGTTTCTGCACAGCAAAAGAAACAATTGGCAGAGTAAACAGACAACCCACAGAATGGGAGAAAATCTTCACAATCTATACATCTAAGAAAGGACTAATATCCAGAATCCACAAAGAACTCAGCAGGAAAAAAAACAATCCCTTCCAATAATGGGCTAAGGACTTGAATATACCATTCTCAAAAGAAAATATAAAAATGGGCAACAAACATGAAAAAATGCTCATCATCACTAATGATCAGGGAAATGCATCAAAACCACAATGCCATGCCACCTTACTCCTGGCAAGAATGGCCATAATGAAAACATCAAAAAATAATAAATGTGGGTGGGGATATGGTGAAAAAAGAACACTTTTACACCGCTGGTGGGAATGTAAACTAGTACAACCACTACAGTAAACTGTGTGGAAATTTCTTAAAGAACTAAAAGTAGAACTACCATTTAATCCAGCAATTCCATTACTGGGTTATCTACCAGAGGAAAAGAAGTCATTATGTGAAAAAGATACTTGTACACGCATGTTTATAGCAGCACAATTCACAACTGCAGAAATATGTAACCAGCCCAGATGCCCATCAATCAATGAGTAGATTAAGAAATTATTATATATATATTATCGATATAATATATACACACACACACAGCCATAAAAAGGAAAAAAATAATGGCATTCACAGCAACCTGGATTCTCGAGATCGGAGATTACTATTCTAAGTCAAGTAACTTAAGAATGGAAAACCAAACACAGTTTGCTCTCACTCGCAAGTGGGAGCGAAGCTATGAGGATGCAAAGGCATTAGAATACTACAGTGGACTTTGGGGACTTGGGGGAAACGGTGGGAGGCAGGTGAGGAATAAAAGACTACAAATTGGATACAACGTATTCCGCTCAGGTGTTGGGTGCACCACAATCTCACTAATCACCTCTAAAGGAGTTACTCATATAATCAAACACCACCTGTTCCCCAAAAACCTATGGAAATAAAAAAATACAATAAGTTTTTGTGTATCTGTGTATGCATCACATATTTTTTAACTTTCTTCACAAGTTCATTGAGATGTAATTTATACGTTATTTAATTCACTCATTTAAAGTGTACATTTCAATTTGTTAGTGTATTAACTGGGTGGATAAACAATCACAATATAATTTTAGAACATTTTTATGCTCCTTAAAAGAAACCTTGCACTCATTAGCAATCTTTTCCCATTTTCTCCACTTCCTTGAAACCCCTCCCAGCCCTAGGCAACCATCCACCCACTTCCTAACTAAGGATTTGCCTACTCTGGAAGGATTTGCCTGTTCCGGACATTTCATGTAAATGGAATCATAATAATACATAGTTACGTGTGACCCACTGCTTTCACTTATGTTTTTAACGTTCATCCTTTTTGAAGCATGTATATTAATACCTTTTTCTTTTTTATTGCCAAATACTATTGTATTTCATGGACAGACCACATTTTATTAATCCACTCTGCAATTCATGGACATTTCTGTTGCTTCCCACTTTTTGTTGCTGTAAGTACTTGTATGCTACCTTTTGAGTAGACATTTGTTTTCATTTCTTTTTGGTGTATACATAGGAGTTAATTTACTGAGTCATATGGTAATTCTATACTTATCCTCTTGAAGAACTGCCAGACTGTTTTAAACTCTCATCAGCAGTGTATAAGGGTTTCAAATTTTCACATATTTTTAATCCATTCTTCAGTTGATAAACACTTAGGTTGTTTCTAAATCACAGCTATTATGAATAACTCTGCAATGAACATGAAATTGCAGATGTCTCTTTGACATACTGATTTTAAGTTCTTCAGACGTATATCCAGAAGAGGCATTGATGAATCATAATGTAAATATATTTATAATTTCTTGAGAAAGCTTCATACTATTTTCCAAGATGGTGGTAATAATTTCAATTCCGACCAACAGTGTACAACCGTTTTCTCCACATTCTAATCAATAGTTATCTTCCATCATTTTTTAATTATTTATTTATTTATTTACTGAGATGAAGTCTTGCTCTGTCACCCAGGCTGGAGTGCAGTGGCGCAATCTTGGCTCACTGCAACCTCTACCTCCCAGGTTCAAGCAATTCTTCTGCCTCACCCTCCCAAGTAGCTGGAATTACAGGTGCATGCCACCACGCCCAACTAATTTTTTGTATTTTTAGTAGAGACGGGGATTCACCATGTTGGCCAGGCTGGTCTAAAACTCCTGACCTCAGGCAATCCACCTGCCTTGGACTCCCAAAGTGCTGAGATTTCAGGTGTGAGCCACCGTGCCCCGCCACATCTTTTTTATAATAACCTCAGTAACATCTGTGAGATAATATCTTCATGGTTTTGACATCTATTTCTCTGATAATTAGGAATGTTGATGTTTTTTATCAACATTTTTGATAAAAATCTGGCCTTTTGTATGTCTGTTTTTAGAAAATGTCTATTCAACTCCTTTACTTATTTTTTAGTAAGCTTGTTTTCTCATTTCTGGGTTGAGTTCCTTACATATTATTGGTATGAACCCCTTACCTGAGATATGGTTTAAAAACATTCTCTTCCCATTTGTGGGTTGTCTCTTCAATCTATTACTGTTTCTTTTGCTGTGCAGAGAAGCTTCTTAGTTTTATGGCATCTCGTTCGTGTATTTTTGCTTTTGTTGCCTGTACTTTTTGGGGTCATCTGTAGAAAATCATAGCTGAGGCCACTGTCATATGGTTTTCTCCTGTCTTTGCTTGTAGCGGTTTTATGGTTTCAGGTTTATATTTAAGTCTTTCATGCATTGCTACTTGATGTTGGTATAAAGAGTGAAATAACAATCCAATTTTATTCTTCTGTATGTGAATAGTCAGTTTTTCTCTACATTATTTATTGAAGAGAATTTTCTTTCCACATTGTGTATTCTTTGTCCTTTTATCAAAAATCAACGGACCACAGACACATGGATTTATTTACAGGTTCTACATTCCTTCACACTGGTCTAGGTGTCTGTTTTTATGCTAGTGCTATGCTGTTTTAAGTACTATAACTTTTTAATATTGTTTAAAATCAAGTAGCCTGATGCCTCTGGCTTTGTTCTTTTTGCTCAAGATTGCTTTGGTTTTTCAGAGTCTTTTGTGGTTCCACTCAGATTTTAGGACTAATTTTTCTATTTCTGTGAAGAATGGCATGGGATTTTGACAGTGATTGCATTAATCTGTAGATTGCTTTCGGTAGCATTGAAATTTTGACGATATTAATTTTTCAAATCCATAAATATGGGATGTTTTTCTACTTATGTCACTTTCAATTTCTTTCAACAATGCTATAAATTTTCAGTATACAAATATTTCACATCCTTCATTAAAATTACTCCTTAGTCTTTTATTTACTTATATATGTTATGATGCTATTATCAAATGAATTACTTTATTCATTTGTTTTTCAGTTAACAGTTTGTCATTGGTGTATAGAAACAAGAATACTATTTGTATGTTAATTTTGTAACTCTCAACTTTCAATGCGTTTATCAGCTTTAACACTTTTTTTCTTTTTTATGGAGTCTTTAAGATTATCTCTATATTGGCTGGGCACGGTGGCTCATGCCTGTAATCCCGGCACTTTGGGAGGCCGAAGTGTGTGGATCACGAGATCAGGAGTTCGAGACTAGCCTGGCCAATATGGTGAAACCCTGTCTCTACTAAAAAAATACAAAAATTAGCCGGGCGTGGTGGCACGCACCTGTAGTCCCAGCTACTTGGGAGACTGAGGCAGGAGCAGCACTTGAACCCGGAGGCGGAGGTTGCAGTGAGCTGAGATGGTGCCACTGCATTCCAGCCTCTTTCCTATTTGGATGCCTTTCCGTTCTTTGCCTTGTATGATTACTCTGGCTACATGATTACATATAACGTTTTCAGCATTTGTAATTTGACATCACATCCATCTGTTGTAATACACTGATTGTTACTTTTCAACTTGAAAACCTGGACATTTATCACTAATCTCCCTTTCTCTTCGTCTAGTTCTTATCCAAGAAAACAACCTGTCAATATAAACCAAGTTAGATAATTATTTTTCTATAAAACCACTTCAAATGCATTTAAAATTTTTTAACCTAACAATTTTTAAACTTTGTATGTCAATGATTTTCAACTGTGGTCTCTCAAAACAAATCCAATACTTTTAGTAGGAAAAATTACGTTAATTCCTACACTACCGTTGGGGCTACCCAAGAGTTGACCAAAGGTGATATTAATACATATGCTTATTTATTACCCTGTTCTCACAGTTCTAGTGTAAGTCTTGAAAATCAAGTAAATTTGGAAACATAGTTGCACAAATCTTCTCATGAGTCACACAGTTAATCCAGAATATTATTTCTAAGTTATCATAAAGCCAACAAGCAAATATGATGTACTGTTTAAAAAGAATAATCATAATTTTATATTATACAAATGAAACATGTATTCAATACTGTTTACTGAATATCTCAAGTATACTTATTTACGTAGAAACAAAGGAATCAACGGATATCTGTTATATAACGTTTAAATTACTAAAAATACTTTATATAGCATCGCTCCATAAATGCTAGTGTAAATGCTGACGAAAGTAAAAATGTCATTCCCTACATTTGCTAAATATATTGTGACACATTATAAGTGTTTTTAAAACATATCACTAAGGGGCAAAAGAAGTAGGCAAAAATAATTGTAAGTATTTAATTATGGAAAAATTTAGAACACAGCATAGTATTCATGTGATGGAAGGATTTTAAATGGAACCCAGAGATTAGCAGCAGCAGGAAGTTTCTATCATACTTAGGATTGGGAAAACAACAGAAGTTACTGGAACACAAAAGCAGGGTCATGTTATTAAAAACTGGGGCCATGGTGAGTGTCTGTGACCATTACCTAATATGTCACACTGAATAAAGACAGACAGCACATGATCTGAGGCTTTTTTCTTCCACAGATGCCTTCCATTGGCCAGAATTAGCCAGTATTTAGAGTGCACTGAAGACTGGGAGGGTCTGTTCTCTGTAACAGACTGAACAGAAGGAGAAGGTGAGATGCTCATTACCTTAGTGATGGCTTCAATCATACCCCAAAACTCAGTATCACACGATAAACCTGCACATTTTTATTCAGTCTAAAATAAAAGTTGAATTTAAAAAAAAATACAGAAAGCAGTTTAGACTTTACTAATCAGTAGTAAAGTCTTTAGAGCTGCTCTTCCAAAAGTAAGCCATTGCACTGAGAAAACTGACCATTTTATTCATCAGAAGAAAAATTCAATGAACCTTTACTCACTGACAATAGTGAGAATCAGAATGAATGAATCAGAATGTCTGTCCTAACTACTCCCTCTGGTTCTACTTCAATTCCTGCTGCCTCCATATGGTTCATCAGTGTGTGGAAGATGAATGTGGTAAAACTGAAGTGGCTGCTTGTACTTGGAGAACAACAACAATGCACTGAAAATTCACTGCTTAGAAGCTGTTGAAAGAGTTTGGCAATAAATACAACCTAATATTCACAATAAAGAGCAATGATCTATAAGCCCATTTTCACATCTATTGTAAAGGCCAACCATGTGTTTCAGCCAAAACAAACTGATTTTATTAATACAATGACCAGACATATATAAATAATAATATGAGTTTATTTTACCAGAGGAATTGGCTCTCACACTTGCATTCTATTGTAGGTTTTTACACTTATCCAATTCTAACAAGAGTTGGATAAACTCAGGGTTTTCCTAAAGTAACAATGACTATTCCTCACAAAAGAGTCACAAGCAAAGTCTACACCTGAAAATGTGTAGATTGCCTTCCATGTCCTGTGTGCATTAAGAAACGTTTTATTTTTACACCTGGTATACGGACAACATGGATGAATATGTTGGCTAATTAGAACAAGTTTATCAAGTTCTTTGAAACCCTTGGTAGACAAAGTAATTCAAGGATTCAGCCCAGATTAGTAGTGTGAAAGCCTGCAACAAACCAAACTGTAGAAAAGTAATAATGTAAATACAAATGTGATTTCAATCTCCACTTGGCGACTGACCTCCCTCAGACCACTAAACTCTGTGCATCAGATGCATTAACAATGAGACATTCGTCACTCACTGGGGAGGTGGGCATGGTGAAAACCTTTTTTTACCCATAGATCTGGGGGAACTGCTGAAAAGCCTGAAATGCATTCAGTTGATGCACCAGACATCAGTTACTGAAGAAGCAGAGGCGATGAACTTCCCTTAACGTTGACCTAAGTGGATAAACGCATGGCAACATGCTGAGTGACTTCAACAATGCAGACACACTCAATGTCAAAATGCCACAGGGCTACCCGGTGCTGCAAGGCTGGGACTCGGTTTCCGTAAGACTGTCTTAAGGCAGTGGGATTTCTGATGGAACTGTGGACATAAGCATATGCCCCCATACGCCACTCCCACTACTCACTGTAGGAACAGCAGTGTAACATTTGTCCCGGCTAATGATGACAAACAATCCCCAAGTCCCTATGCAAACCAAGTGCTGGGGCCACACAGTGGCCTGAGCAACATACCTATGGGTAGTAACTATTGAGAAGACATTTCCAAGGGATTGCCATTCCAACAGGCATGGGGAATGCTCAACATCACCAATCATCAGAGATGAGGTACCGGTGCCATCACACGCTGGTCAGAGTGGCCATTTGTCCTAAGTCAAAACATAACATGCTGGTGTGGCAGCAGAGAAAAGCAAACATGGCTATTCTCTTGGAGGTAATGCAAACTAGATCTCAAACTGTGGAAATCAGTCTGAAGATTTCTGGAAAAAAAAAAGGACAGAAAGCAGAGCTACGCTTTGACGCAGCAATCCCACCCCATGCGTCTACCCCAGGGAAAAACACATGCATCTATCAAAAGGACACAGACACTCACATGTCCACGGGAGTGTTACTGACAGGAATAAAGATGTGGAACTGACCTAGATGCCCACCAACAGAAAATTGGATTTTTTAAAATGTGGTACCTATACATCACAGAATGCTGAAAAAACCACTAAGGAAAATCAAACACAGAAACAAAATCATGCCCTCAGTAGGAACATGGGTGGAACTGGAGGCCACTCTGCTAAGCAACTGAGGCAAGAACAGAAGACCAAACACTGCAGGTTCTCATTTATAAGTGGAAGCTCAACACCCAATGCACATCAACATCAATATGAAATCAACAGACGTTGGGTACTACCAGACAGAAAAAGAAGGGAGACAGGGAGCCTTGGAGGAAGAAAGACCCAACTGGTGCTGTGTTCACTGCCTGGACGACAGGTACGTTAGGACCTCAAGCATCAAAATTCTACTGTATAGCCATGTAGTGAAGTGAACCTGCAGGCGTACCCCTTGATCACAATAAAAGTAGCTATCATTTTAGAAAACCCAGCTTTGGAAATAAAAATAGAAAAAAGGAAGAAAACACACAAAACAAAACAAAAAGCCTACAGTGACCCAATCCATCCTCTTAGTGGCATGAACACAGAAAGATAACAGAATGGACACAACGAAGGAGCCAAATAATCAACCCACAGTTATAAACACTGAACCCATGGGATTCTTGCTTTTACCCCAAAAGCACACCAAAGGCACAATGGTTGAGGAAACTGTGGGGGGGGTGGGGGTCACGTGTAAAGGACCGAACCCTTCCTTTACCCAAGACACAAAAAGTGACACAAAATCTACTGAACACCTAAGTTCAATCCTGAAACCAAAATCTCCAAGGAAAACGCATAGGGTGTGTGTCTACTGTGGGGAAACTTGAACCTGTGAACCTCAGCTACAAGCAGAAAACGAAGACATAGGAACCAAATACACATAGACCATACATAATGGCTTCACCATCTTGCTTTTCTCCTCAAAGGGACACAGAAATCACCACTAAGAAAAGCTAATGTGACCATGTGAAACTAAGGACAACTTCAGAGCTTCACACAGCTTCAACACTGGAGAGAAAACAGTGAACCCAACAGAAAACATCCTACAGACTGGGAGAAAATTATGGAAAACTGTGGATCTGGAAGGGCTTCTTATCTAACATATTCAAGAAACTAATGGTCCTAAGTGGACAAAAACCAATATACAATGCTTGTCACACCTAAGTGGACAAAAACCAATACTAAAAATGCCCAAAAGACTGGCATAGGCATTTCTGAAAAAACCTGAAACAGCCTCTCAGGTAACAGAAGTTTCTCCACATCAGAAGAGTTTCTCCCCAGAGAACGAGTATGACCAGAAACAGCAATAAAACTTTGGAAGATAAGGGCAGTGTAGATTTGCAGACAGAGGAACTATTACATACTACTGGTTTGAATGCAAATTTGTATACCCACTGGGAAACAGCTGGAGTTTTCTGAAACAATTAACAACACAACCACCAGTTCCTCTAGCCATCCCAACACTGGGTATACCTGCAAAGCCAAGGAAACCTACCTTAAGGAGGTATCTCCCTTCCCATGTTTCATGAAGTACTCTGAACAATAACCAAGGTGGGGAATCAACCTACTTGTCTTTCTACAGATGATAAAATCAGGAATTGAAGGATATATGCACAACGGTATACTCTTCGGCCATCAAACTTCCGGACATCAGTTCACTACCAGCAAGATGGAGAAACCTGGAGGGCATTAAGTTAAAAAACATGAGCCAGGCAGAGGAAGACAAACACAAATACTGTGCAATCTCATGCACGTGGAATCTAACAAAGTGAATCTCATACAGTAGCAATGTCAACAGTGGGTACCAGAGGCTCTGAGGAGGATTGGAAATGGCTACAAAGGGATGCTCAGATGAGGCACAGGTACTCTGGTGTTCTACAGCACAGCAGGGTGACTAGGCTTAACAATATCATAGCATAATATTCAATATTGCTGGAAAGGATTTGGAATGCTCTCTCCATCAAGAAATCCTCACTGTAGCATGAAACAGATGCTAGGTCCTGTAGTTTCATTGATTCATGTAAAAAGGTCCATTGCACCCTTTAAATAAAAACATAGACCATGTCCTATTTTTGTTTTCCAAATAGGATCACAACACACTACTAAAAATCCCGTGGGACAATGAAATGCCCTGCATTCCCAAAGCAGTTTCTGCACATACAAAGTCAGTGGAGTGCCATCACACTCTTCCACTTTCAACTACTTCCCAAAGCTTTAGTTACCCAAGCGATTCGTGATAGGCATTAACAGAGAAACACAGGCCAACGAACACAATGAGGGTGTCCAGCAGCAAACTCAAATGAAGGTCTCAGTTAATTTAGAAAGTTTATTTTGCCAAAGTTGAGAACACACTTGTGACACAGCCTCAGGGTCATGATGACATGTGCCCAAGGTGGTCAGGGCACAGCTTGGTTTTATACATTTCAGAGAAACATGAGACATCAATCAATATATCTAAGAAGTATATTGCTTTGGTCTAGAAAGGTGTGACAAGTTGAAGCTAACTCAGAAGACTGGAAGGAGGGAGGGAGCTTCCAGGTCACAGATCACTGATACACAAATGGTTACATTCTTTTGAGTTTCTGATTAGTCTCCAAAGGAGGCAATCAGGTATGCATCTATCTCAGGGAGCAGAGGGGTGACTTTGAATAGAATGGGAGGCAGGTTGGCCCTAAGCAGATTCCAGCCTGAGTTTTCCTTAGTGATTTTAGGGGCCCAAGATATTTTCCTTTCACATTTCCCCCCTTTTCTTTTTAAAAAATCTTTTGGAAAAAGCATTTTACAAGAAAATGAGTCTCTGGTCTCGGGTTTCATCTGATCTCTCATGGCTAGGAGGGTTTATTCCTAGAGAGGTAGGTCCCAAAAGCTCATTTTTAGCAGGTTGTGATGTCTCACATCCTTTGAAGTTAAAATAGGGGGGAGGAAGTGAGAAAAAACAACAACAAACAAAAGAACAATCCTGGAAAAATCAATGCAAGCCACATTACTCTGCAGTCCATGCCTCAGTAGGCAGGTATGAAAGTGGCTTAGGTATGTCAACAGGTTGCTGTTATTTTCTTCTGAAGTTTAATTTGTCTGGCTTCAGTTCACAGGGTTTTAAGAAAGCACAGCTTAGTTTTCAGTGACTCCAAGTTAGGAATAATTGAAAAAAAAATTGAAAACATTAAAGACTTGTAGCCAAGAAAAATTAGAATTTGGTCCCAACTGCAGAAAATAATAAAAATTGAAAAAAATATTAGGCAAGACTAGAATCTAAAAACAGGTCTACTGTGGTTTTGAAACATAATTTTTTCTCTCTCCAGTTTTCCATTTTTACTAAAGATAAATCATGTTAGAACTGATTTGCTTTATTATTCTTGGTCTAATTATTTGCATACAGTGCAACAACCATAATTATTTTTTACACAGGCTTTTAAATTGGCTTTGATGGAACTTTGTTCCATAGGAGGAATCTTAGATAAGACTTTCTTAAGCCAGGCCCAGCCATGGATTTGTGCCATCAAATACCTATGATTTCAGTGAATTTCCTCTCCTCTTGAGGTTCCAAGATAAACCTGGGGCTTCTGCACCTGTCAGAAAGTGACATTCTTTATTTACCACAGGTCAAAACCCTGTACAGGGACTGTGTACACAAAATATGAGGCCAGTTTTTCCACGGGCTTTATTGGCTTCTATAAGTCAAGTTTGATTCCTTAAAGGAAAGCACACCATTTCAGTCAAACCCTTGATAAAATAACCAACTTCTCCAACTGTGTCCTATTGCTAAATAAAACAGATTCTTATTGCACTTATGCAAATAACTATATTGCCATAAATTAAGAATACCCCCAGTTTCCAAATTCTGGAGAAATTAGGTAGAGAAAAACAAATATGCTCCAAATTTTGTTCACAGGAATATACTTTATTGTTAAAATCTGCAACTAACAAAGTTTTCTTAACTCTGAAAAACTAAACAAAGTATCAGCAATGTTTTAAGCAAGAAGTCAAAAAGATTACTTCAATTTTCTGTTGGTTCAGTTATTTCTATTAACTCCTGTTCCGTTTCATAGTCAGGAACATTTCAGCTCTCCATGAGAGAGTTCCGAAATTTTTTGCTTTATTCCAATGTAACAATTTCCAAAATTATCAGAAAACCTGAATTTAAGTGCACCTGTTAAGAGTCCTACAGCTGATTATAAACCCACCTTATAAAGAGGGTTTAAAACAAGACAAAACAAGACAAAACAAGATAACCGTCTGTGGATGAAAAAAAAGTAAAGGCAGCCATAGTTAAAAGATACAATTGACAAGTGAATGTGTTACCTCCGTGGCACACGATAATTTTAACATAGCAATTATGATTATTACGAATAATGTACACTAAGTTGTATCAGAATTACAGGAGTTTCCCATCATTTTGGAACACATACCAATAACATATTTATACAAATGGATATGAAAGAAAGCCAAACACCATTTCTTATCTGACAGTACTTTCCTGTATAAATTTTATACCAGATAAGCCAAATTATGTCATTTTTAGACTTTAGAGAAACTAATGTTCTATTTAGGATGGAAAAAGACATAATATATAATTTGATTTTGGAAAGTTTGTCAAATATAAAATGTTTAAAACACTTGATATTAAAAAATAGGATTACAGGTCATTGTAAAGTCATTTATTTAACCAAAGTGATAATTCAAGGATTTTTTAAAAGTGAAAACCTTCATCCTTTGAGACAGGAGACTTAATTTTTTAAACAAGAAGCCCTAATAAAAACAGCATGAAGCCAATTACATTTGTTTTTTAAAATTTTCTAAATCTATAAAATGTAATCTTGATTATAAAATATAACTTCCATAAGCCTTTTATAACCTGTACTAAGGAGTTGGTAAATGCTTCAAGAAAACCTTGTTAATCTGACACAGGGGTCCATATACTGGTTTTGCATCATTGTGATTTTGACATTAATAATTAATGTATAGAGAAACTGAACCAACTTTATCTTTCAAAATCGGCCCTTACAATCTTATGCTCCCACCTCTTTCACAATAGTCTCTTGGTCTTGAGGAGTTCAATAGCTTTCATTTCCTGCCCTGTGTCTCAGGAATGCAGCAGTTTATTTAAATTGGCATCTTCTACTGGTCCTGAAGATGAGGCTTTAATTGCTGTGGGTATTTAAGATTTAGCAGGAATTGGTTTTCGTTTTTAGACATAGGAGTTAAAAAGCCCTGTAACTCAATGTTGCAAGGATTTTGAAAGCATATACAGGAAGATACATGGATGTAATAACTTCAATTTTAAAAAATCTCAGTTTTTTTCCTAAGTAAACCAAAACTTAATGTGACAACTTTATTATATAAAAGTTTTTGGATTTTTTAAATATATAAATCCTTATTGTAACTTACATTGTTCATGACATGGTCAGACTTTCTGATTTGTTCTGAACATCCTTTCTTTTTAAACAACCAGTTATTTTATTTTAGGACTAAACTTACTACACAGGATTCTTTCTTATATAATAGTATTTCTCTTTAAACTCTTTTTTACCTC
This sequence comes from Homo sapiens, assembly GCF_000001405.40. Lineage (NCBI taxonomy): Eukaryota > Metazoa > Chordata > Mammalia > Primates > Hominidae > Homo > Homo sapiens. The sequence continues at coordinate 15,660,851 of NC_000022.11, read as the reverse complement.
AAAAACTACCTCTTTACAACTTTCTTTACATTTTTTTATTTCCTGGTTCCTTTTACTTTGTTTTATATATAACTTTAAATAAGCTTTGAATTAGACAAAACATGTTCTTTTTTTTTTTTTTTTTAGAAAAAAAGACACTTTTTTGGCAAGAATGTTTTCCTACAATATATGTGTATTGGAAAATACCCAAATAATGAAATATCTATTATTTAACTTAACTTTATATTCTAAATTATGACCAGTTTGTCTACAAGTGTTTATCCCATTACAATTACCTAATTATTTTAATTGTTTATCTAGATTATTTATGAAATCTGTGATAGTCATGATTTAAAGTTATGAAGCCGCCATTGCAAAATTATAACTGAGACAGTGAAAAAAAGATTTGACCTAACTGGCTCCATCTTGCTCATAACCTCCAAGCTGTCCTTGTTCATTCCTGGGCATAGGCTGAACTAACACTGAGAGGAACCTGGTTTATAGTTTAGATTTGAAACAAAGGCAGTAACAGTCCTTACCTTATTGTCTGTGGACTAGACTGCCAAATGCCGCAGGATTAGAAGTGCTAGTAATCTTACTAAATTCAACATGCAGCTGTTTTTATTAAACCCCATATCAATGTCTTACTTATTAAAAATTACACAAGTAAAGATCATTCCGTTTTGGGCTGGGTTTATACTTTTGAAACCCCAATGCCAAATTTTGACACCTTATAGTATTTGGCAGGAATATGTATGAAATTGGTTGATACTAAATGTAAACAAAAATGTATGCTGCCAATTTTTAAGACATTTCTAATATTTTTTTACCAATAATTTTAAAGATAGCTTATTTATTAAAGATTTTGCTTAAGTTACATAAAGTTGAAAAAGCATTTCACAAGTCTTTCTTAGTATTTAACTTAAGTGGTTTTATTTTTCTTTAAGCCGATTAGAGCTTTTATATATTTTTAGTAGTCCAACATTCTGTACACAATACATAAATACATCTAAAAATCTATCAGGCATATCTATGGAAGTACTGAAACCACTTTTGCAAAACTGCAACTAAGGAAATTATGACAGTGAAAGAAATCAGACCTAACCGACTCTATCTTGCTTCTAACCCTTAAGCTGTCCTTGTTCATTCCTTGGTGTAAGCTCAACTAACTTTGGGAAGGAATTTAGTTCACGGTTTGACTCTGAAAGCAAATTGATAACAACCCTTTCCTGAAAAGAACCCCTTCTTGCCTGGGGAGCAGTCTGCCTTTGCAGGACTAACATATTAGCTACAAGATTAGAATGTACAGTTTAGGGGTCATGCAGTCTCTGGCTTCGAAAGTCTGAACCTCCCCAAACTGCTCCTGCAGGTAACATCACATCACTACTGTAAAACCTAAGATCAGGGCTTGATACGTGTTGCAGACCCTGCCCAGGCCAGTAATCTGGCCCAACCAGTTGTGCCGTCATACCCATGAATAGAAGACAGAAAGATAACCTAACTTCAACCCCCTATGATTCTATCTCCAACCTGACTAATCAGCACTCCCCACTTCCCAAGCCCCTACCCACCAAATATCTTTAAAAACTCTGATCCCCGAATGCTCGGGGAGACCGATTTGAGTAAAAACTTTGGTCTGCCATGCAGCCGGCTCTGCGTGAATTACTCCTTCTCCACTGCACTTCTTCTACCTTGATAAATCGGTTCTGTCTAGGCAGCGGGCAAGGTGAACGCATTGGGCTGTCACGGTACATTTTATAGATTGAAGACCTCCCCCTTTTTTTCTCTCTCAGACTTTCAGATTCTTGGTAACTTGTTTCACAACCCTAGGCAGCTGTCAACTAAACAGCCTTAAATTTGAACGTTAAGGGAAACAATTCAGGTGAAAATCAAATAGCAAAATTTACTACATAAAGCACACAAGGAAAGAGTCTGGTGGTGCTAGAGGGAGACACTAATATTTTCTTCGAGCCAAACTAAACATTAAATTAAACTACAGTCTTCCTTAAAAACCCAAGAGTAGCCTCTGTTGCAATAACTACTTTAGTCAAGAAAAATCAAGTGAAAACAGAATTCAGTCAACTGAGAAAAAAAAGACAAAAAAAACATAAACACAGTTGCTCAACAACAACAAAAAGACAAGGTCTTAGGAGAGTAAAACAAACAAAAAAACAAAAAACATGAAGGCCTTTCAAATACAAACATGCGCACACATGCACACACATCTGGATGTTACCCTTTTAATTAAGCTGACTTTTACACAATTGTGCTCCTTTAAACAAAACTCTTTTAATCTTATTACCATATTTCAGCGAGGACAAAATGCTGCTAAACTAACAATGGTCACACAAATTATATGATTTCTGAGCACTCTGACGTGTAAGCAGAAATTAACACCGGCTGGTTGTTAAATGTTAACTTTATTCTTTAAAAGGAATTTGCAAGACAGAATCCAAAACTAGTTTCTTACCTAGTGATGGATCTCAGGCTGCAAACTACTCTCTACTATCCTAGAAGCAGGAAAAACACACAAACAAACAAACACACAAAACAAATTTGCCTAATAGAAGAAGTGAGCTCAAACTCTATAAAGTAGTTACCTGCCTTCCAACATCATGGAGGTGTGAAAACTTGTCTTGTTGGACGCAAGTAAAACTCCAAAAAAAAAAAAAAAGAGGAGTTGTACAGCAAAATAAACTTTAGATCTTGACCAAAGTTTTGGAGATGAAGGATTCTTTGGAGGGAGTGCTCTCAGATCTCAGCAAATTGTCCTATTGGTTTGGGTCATAAAGTGAGCTCACACTGGTCCCAAGCACTGACAGGAGATTTGCCAAAGGTCAGGGGCATCTCCACTCAGAATCCCTCGTGGTTACCAAAAGGGGAACTCTGAAAATCTGAAACAGGTCTCAGTTAATTTAGAAAGTTTATTTTGCCAAGGTTGAGGACACACTCCTGACAAAGCCTCAGAAAGTCATGAAAACATGTGCCCAAGGTGGTCAGGGCACAGCTTGGTTTTATACATTTTAGCGAGACATGAGACAACAATCAATGTATGTTAAGAAGTACATAGGTTTGTTCTGGAAAGGTGGAACAACTTTAAGCAAAGGCAGGAAGACTGGAAGCAGGGAGGGAGCTTCAAGGTCATGGATAAGAGATACACAAATAATTACATTATTTAGAGGTTTTGGTTAGCTTCTCCAAAGGAGGCAATCAGATATGCATCTATCTCAGTGAGCAGAGGGGTGGCTTTTAACAGAATGGGAGACAGGTTGGCCCTAAGCAGTTTCCAGCCTGAGTTTTCCTTAGTGATTTTGGGGGACCAAGATACTTTCCTTTAACAACATACGAGTAAGCACATGTTTGAAAACAACCACAAAAGTCACCCTGGGAAGGGAGAGTCTGTCCAATACAGTGTTCAGGGAACTGGATATCCCTAAGCAAAATAACATAGGGTCCTTATTGTGCGAAATTCACAATTCATTCAACTGAAAGAAAGACCTATCCAAAACTGATAAAGTCACTCTCTAAGAAGAAAGCATATAGTGTGCAGATACCAGGGTCAACTTGGAACTATGCTCATGGTTTGCAAAAAGGAAAACAGAAAAAATAAAGAAGACAAAAAAGAATACAAACAAGCAACAACCAAAACTCACTGGCAACAGATTGATAAGCTGGTGAATTTCTTTAACTTCATCAGTCACCAAAGTAAGGGAAAACCAGAACACTGCACACACCTGAAACTGCATCAGACTACATGGCTTGTGGGCAAGAAAGAATGAAAAACATGAATGAAAAGAAAGAAACATACAAAGGATGATAAGAAGCATTTGGAGAAAAACACAGCTGATGAGGCATTTTTTGGAAAAGGTGTAAGTAACTAACATTACTAACTAGCAAAAAACACCAGAAAACAGAAATTAATTACCAAACCAAAACTGGATAAAAAAACCAAAGAGGCTTTTCTGCAAAAGACACATAAAACTGAAAATAAGTATGCTTGTTAACACCCGGTTAACACCACTAATCATGGCAAAAATGAAAATCAGAACAAGACTCAGATACTGTGCCTCTCTTGGTGGAACGATTATTACAAAGACCTTTGTGTATCTTAAAAGAAGCTGCTGTGAATTTCCAGAGAGGTTAGCTTTCTTATCCACAACTGTTAACAGGTAATTAGTATGCACACTACAGAAGCCACCTGGAGGTTCCTCAGAAAACTAAACTTACAACCACTGAGCTGTGCTGCTACTGGAATCATATGAAATCAGTACACAGAAGACGTATCTGCCTTCCCACGCTGACTGTGGAAACAGTCGCAATAGCCAAGATAAGCAATCAACCTACCTGTCCACCCACAGAGGATGAGATCCAGAAACTGCAGTATCCAGTCACAACCAGATACTCTTCAGCCAGACATGGGTACTGAAATCAGGTCATCCGTGGCAACACTGTGGAACCTGGAGAACATTATGGTAAACAAAACACACTAGGCAGAGAAAGACAAACCTCGCATCACTTCACTCATGAGGAATCTAGGAAACTTTATCTCACACAGACCTACAAAGCACCATCGTGCTTGCCAGGGTTGGAAAAGAAGGCTGGGCAAGGGTGGGCATAGGAAACAGGTACAAAGTGACACGTTGCATGAGAGGAATGAAACCTGCTGTTCTATTCCTCAGCAGGATGACTAGGGAAAATTTTACCAAAGGGTGGTCTTCAAGACAGCCAGAAAGGAGGGTTCTCGCTCTCCTCACTCAAAGACATGAAAACTCTACCAGGCATAAAAGGATGCTAAATACCCTGATTTCATCCCTATACGATGCATGCATGGACCCAAATGTCCCACTCGACCCTCTAGTTGTACATATTTAGGACAGGGCCAATTTTGTTTCCTAAAAACAACATAAACAAACAATGCTAAAATTCCCATGGGACCACAAAATGCCCTGAAACTCCAAAGCCATGCTGAAACACCAAACGTCAGATGGACAAAAGGCTCACTATGCAGTGAAGGGCACTGGGCTAGGTGGCTAGACACATGCAGATGGACAACACTGGAGCCTTAACTCTCGTCAGATACAAAAACTAACCCAAGGTGAATGAAAGATTTCAGCAGAATACCTCAAACTATAAAAGTCCTACAAGGAAACCTAGGACATATCTTTCTCAGTACGGGCTTTGGAAAAGCATTTAAACAAAAAGCAACAGTAAGAAAAACCAAAAGGACAAGCTGGGCCTAAGAAACTATAACACTGCCAGATAGCAAAATAAATCACTGGCACAGTAAACACACAGGCTACAGGATGGGAGAAAATGTTCCCAAACTATGCTTCTCACCAAGGTCTGATAGCCAGACTCTAATATGACCTTAAAAAAATCAAGAGGCAGAAAAACAAACCATTCAAACAATGGGTAGAGAACATGAACAAACACCTCAACATCCCTCATCATCAGAGAAATGCAACTCTCATGAACACTGAGATACCATCTCACATCGGTCAGAATGGCCATTTGTCCTAAGGCCAAGCATTAACATGGTGGCAAGGCAATGGAGGAAAGCAAACACTGCTACACTCTTGGTGGGAATAAAAACTAGCTCTCACACTATGAGAAGTGGTTTGGAGGTTCCTCAAAGAACTTAACAACTACCATCCAAATGAGCAATCACATAACTGGGTATCTACACAAAGGAAAATAAATCATAAATCTTCCTTTCAAAATGACACAGGCATGGGTATGTTCTTGGAAGTGCTATTCACATGGAAATATAAAATAACATCGACCTATGTCCCCCCTTAACAGTTGATTACATGCTTTAAAAGTGCTATACATAGATACCACAACATCCTACACAGCTTAAAAAAAATTCATGCTCTTGACAGCAACAAGGATGGACCTGCAGGTCACTATGCTAAGCAAACTAACACAATCTAACAGAAAACAAAATACCACATGCTCTCACTTACAGGGAAAATACCTGTAGACAATACAATGACTTTGTGATCTCTTTTTTCTCTCTCTGATTGGACACAGAAATCCCTGCTGACAAAAGCAAATAAAAAACTGTGAGACCAACACTTTAGAGCTTCTGCATGGGGGAGAAAACAATGAACCCAAAGAGAAAGCATCTTACCTTGGCGGAAAGGATGATTGGGTTAAAATTGTGGAGAATCGTGATTTTGGAAGGGGTTGTTATCTAACATATGCAAGCACTAAAGCTACTAAGTGGGGAAAAGATTAAAAAAATACACAAGCTAAAAATATGCAAAGGACCTGCACAATCACTTCTGCAAAGGACATGAAACTGATTCACAGGTGAAAAAAAAAGATTCTCCACATCACTAATCACTCCAAACATGTAAGTCAGAATCACACTCCAATATCAGATACCATCAAACTCCACTGAGAATATTACCAAAAACAGGAATAACATTTTTGGAAGGTAGCAGCCAGTGTAGACTTACAGAAAGGGAAACTCTTATACGCTATTGATGCCAATGTGAATTAGTGAATACACTGTGAAAAAGTTGGGATGTTCCTCACACTGCGTATGCATTTAAAGCAAAGGAAACCGGTACCTTAAGGAGTTACCTGCCTTCCCATGTTTCATGACAGTATTCGCAATATAGAAGATATGGAATCAACCTACCTGTCCATCCATAGATGAAGGGATGAAGAAACTGCAGTATATCTGCACAACACAATACTCTTCATCCATAATTAATGTAATTTTCATTTGGAGCCATATGGATGAACCTGGAAAATATGTTAAATAAAATAAGCCAAGCATAGAAAAATAACCACAGATTCATCTCACTTATATGGAATCCAGAAAACTTTGCCTTGGATAAGTAGTGGTTTTCTGAGGAGAGGGGAAGGAGGGAATGGGAGGATTGGTTGTGGAAACAAAGTTGCAGTTAGTTGGGACAGATACATTCTTGTGCTCTATACCACAGCTCCGTGATTCTGGTTAATACTATATTTTTCAAAAAAGCCACAGGGAGCAATTCCAATGTTTTCACAAAAGAATAATACCTGTATGAGAGAACAGATATGCCAAGTACCCTGATTTGATCATTACTAAAAATATACATGAATCAAAATGTGCCAGAGGAAAAACAGTCCCAGCAGACTCTCTAATTATATACTTTACTATGCACAGAAATTTAAGAAAAGTGAATACACAATGCTGATGATCACATGGAACCACAAATGGCCCTGAATGTCTAAGGAATCCTGAGAAATAGAAACTAAGTTGGAGGACTCACAATCCCTGATATGCCGCTGTGCTCCAGCCTGGGTGAGAGAATGAAACTCTGTCTCAAAAAAATTGTTAGAACATTTGAAGGAAACATAGAAGTGATAACTACAAGGACTCTGTCACTCAGGCTGGAATGCAGTGGCATGATCATGGCTCACTGCAGCCTTGACCTCTCTGGCACAAGTGATCCTCCCACTTCTGCCTCCTGAATAGCTGGAACTACAGGCACACACCACCACGCCTGGCTAATTTCTTTGTATTTTTTGTAGAGATGAACTTTTGCCATGTTGCCTAGGCTGGTCTCAAATTCTTTGGCTCAAGTGATCTGCCCACCTTGGCCTTGCAAAGTGCTTGGATTACAGGCACCAGCCATTATGCCTGGCCATAAGAAAACATGCATGGCAACATCAAAGTGAAAAGTTTTTGCAAGGAAAAGGAAACAATGAACCCAAAAAGAAAGGCTGGGAGAATGTTTTGAGGAATCACGAATCAGCTAAGGGGTTGTTATGGAAAATATACAACACATTAACAGTACTAAGTAGCAACAAAAAAACCAATGATCCATCCAAAAATGAGCAGGGACCCTGAATAGACATTTCTGCAAAGAGGACAGTAAACCACACTCAAGGTCCCTTCCCCCAGTCAGGTGGCCATGACTAGAGGGACAGAGTTAGGCAGGCACTGCAGGGAGTGGAGAAATGTGACCCCTACGTCCTGATAGCAGGGATACAGATTTAAAAATTCACCAGACCGGGTGCAGTAGTTAATGCCTGTAATCCCAGCACTTTGGGAAGTTGAGGCGCGAGGACTGCTTTGAGCTCAGAAGTTTGAGACAAGCCCAAGCAACATGGCGAAACCCTGTTGCTACCAAAAATACAAAAAAAAAAAATAGCTGGGCATGGTGGCATAGGCCAAAATACTGTTGAGGCTGAGGCTGGAGAATCCCTTGGGCCCAGAAAATGGAGGTTGCAGTGAGCTGAGATCCACCACTGCACTCCAGCCCGGGCAACAGAGCAAGACTGTATCTCCAAAAAATAAAAATAAAAATAAAAACAATTAAAAAATCAGCAAACCCTGGAGGTTAAGTTGGATCCTTTCCTTCCATCTGAGGCTTGAAAGCAAGGCAGCCAAACTGGGGCCTGGCCCCAAAACCCCACCTGGGCCAGGCTTCCCCTTCCTCCCACAGCCAGAGCTTTCCTCTCCACCTACATGGGGAGTCTCCCTCAGAAACAGCCCTAAAGCCTCCCACACATTCCAAACTCAAAAGCCCTCAGGGAATGAGTACTACTGTAAAATTAATGGCAAGATATCAAGAGAGAAAAAAGGAGTGAGAATCTAGCAGAAATGCACAGAACATTCCACAAAACGAAAGCTTCTGTACTCACCATGAAAGAAAAACGCCCCAAAGAAGCTGGGCCACGGAGAAGCCACGCCGAAGCACTGTCCTCAGCAGTCAGCACCATGGACAGGAGGTGTTTCTTCCCCAGGATGCGCCCTCAAGTTATCCCAAAGCTGCTGCAGCACCTGGTGGCTCCTGATAATTCTAAAATTCATATGGGAAAAAAAAAACGAGCCCACATAGCCAAAGCAAGACTAAGCAGAAAGAACAAATCTGGAGGCATTACATTACCTGACTTCAATCTATACTACAAACCCATAGTCAGCAAAACAGCATAATACTGGTATAAAAATAAGCACATAGACCAATGAAACATAATAGAGAACCCAGAAGTAAACTCAAATACTTACAGCCAACTGGTCTTTGACAAAGCAAACAATATAAAGTGGGGAAAGAACACCCTACTCAACATATGGTGCTTGGATAATTGGCAAGCTACATCCCAAGAAATGAAACTGAATTCCCATCTCTTACCTTATACAAAAGTCAACTTAAATCTGAGACCTGCAACCATAAAAATTCTAGAAGGTAACATTGGAAAACCCCTTCTACACATTGGCTTAGGCAGAGACTTCATGACCAAGAACCCAAAAGCAAGTGCAACGACAACAAAATGAAGATTAAAAGGTGAGACTTAATCAAGCCAAAACGTTTTGGCACAGCAAAAGAAACAATAAGCAGAGTAAACAGACAACCCATGGAATGGGAGAAAATCTTCACAATCTATACGTCTGAGAAAGGACTAATAACCAGAATCTACAAGGTACTCAAATTAACAGGAAAAAAACCAATCCCTTCAAATAATGGGCTAAGGACTTGAATAGACAATTCTCAAAAGGAGATATAAAAAATGGCCAACAAACATGAAAAAATGCTCATCATCACTAAAGATCAGGGAAATGCAAATCAAAACCACAATGTCAGGCTGGGAGCGGTGGCTCACACCTGAAATCCCAGCACTTTGGGAGGCTGAGGCGGGTAGATCACTAGGTCAAGAGATCAAGACCACCCTGGCCAACATGGTGAAACTCCATCTGTCCTAAAAATACAAAAATTAGCCGGAAGTGGTGGTGGGCACCTGTAGTCCCAGCTACTCGGGAGGCTGAGGCAGGAGAATCCCTTGAACCCAGAAGGTGGAAGTTGCAGTGAGCCAAGGTTACACCACTGCACTCCAGCCTGGTGACAGAGCGGACTCCATCTCAAAAAAAAAAACCAAAAACTCACAATGCTATGCCAGCTTACTCTGGCAAGAATGACCATAATCAAAACAGCAAAAAATAAAAAATATTGGGGGGCATTTGGTGAAAAGGGAACACTTTTATACTGCTAGTGGTAATGTAAACTAGTACAACCACTATAGTAAACAGTGTGGAGATTTCTTAAAGAACTAAAAGTAGAACTACCATTTAATCCAGCAATTCCATTACTGGGTATCTACCCAGAGGGGAAAAGAAGTCACTATATAAAAAAGATGCTTGCACACACAAGTTTATAACAGCACAATTCACAATAGCAGAAATATGTAACCAGCCCAAATGCCCATCAATGAGTAGATTAAGAAATTGTGATATACATCATGGAATACTATTCAGCCATAAAAAGGAAAAAATATAATGGCATTCACAGCAACCTGGATGGGATCAGAGACTTTCTTTTCGTTTTTCTTTTTTTTTTTTTTTTAGACAGAGTCTCTCTGTCACCCACGCTGGAGTGCAGTGGCACGATCTCAGCTCACTGCAACCTCTGCCTCTCGGGTTCATGCCATTCTCCTGCCTTAGCCTCCCAAGTAGGTGGGACTACAGATGCCCGCCACCACGCCCAGCTAATTTTTTGTATTTTTAGTAGAGACGGGGTTTCACCATGTTAGCCAGGATGGTCTCGATCTCCTGACCTCGTGATCCACCTGCCTCAGCCTCCCAAAGTGCTGTGATTACACGCGTGAGCCACCGCGCCCAGCCGATCAGAGACTATCATTCTAAGTGAAGTAACATTAAGAATGGAAAAGCACACATCGTATGCTCTCGCTAATAAGAGGTAGCTAAGCTGTGAGGATGCAAAGGTATTAGAATACAACGGACTTTGGGACTTGGGAGAAAAGGTGGGAGGGGGTGAGGAATTAAAGACTACAAATTGTATACAGTGTACACTGCACAGGTGTTGGGTCCACCAAAATCTCATGAATCACCTCTAAAGAACTTACTCACATAATCAAACACCACCTGTTCCCCAAAACCCTATGGAAATACAAGAACTTTTTGTTTATGCATACCACATATTTTTAAACTTTTTTCACAGGTTCATTGAGATATAATTTATGTATTATTTAATTCACTCAATTAAAGTATAAAATTCAGGTTTTTTTAGTGTATTAACTGGGTGCATAAACAATCACAATATAATTTTAGAACACTTTTATGCTCCTTATAAGAAACCTTGCACCCATTAGCAATCTTTTCCCATTTTCCCCACTCTTCCTTTAAAACCCTCCCAGCCCTAGGCAATCATCCATCTACTTCCTAAGGATTTGCCAATTCTGGAAGGATTTGCCTATTCTGGACATTTCATGTAAGTGGAATCATAATAATATATAGTTATGTGTGACTCACTACTTTCACTTATTTTTTCAATGTTCATCCTTTTTGGAGCATCTATTAATACCGTTTTCTTTTTCATTGCCAAATAATATTTTATTTTATGGACAGATCACATTTTATTAATCCACTCCTCAACTGATGGACATTTCTGTTGTTTCCTACTTTTTGTTGCCATAAACAGTTGTATGCTACTTTTTGTGTAAGGCATTTGTTTTAATTCCTTTTTGCTGTATACATAGGAGTTAATTTACTGAGTCGTGATAATTCTATACTTAACCTTTTGAAGAACAGTTTCATTTTTCTGCACGTGGCTTGCCAATTATGCCAGCACCAAATAGGGCATCTTTTCCCACTTTATGTTTTGTTTGCTTTGTCAAAGATTAGGTATAGTCTGATGCCTCCAGGTTTGTTCTTTTTGCTCAAGATTGCTTTGGTTTTTCAGGGTCTTTTGTGGTTCCATTCAGATTTTAGGACTAATTTTTCTATTTCTGTGAAAAATGACATTGGAGTTTGATAGTGGTTGCATTTAATCTGTAGACTGCTTTCGGTAGCATTGCAATTTTGACAATATTAATTTTTTCAATTTATAAATATAGGATGTTTATGTCACTTTCAATTTCTTTCATCAATGTGCTATAATTTTCAGTATACACATCATTCACATCCTTCATTAAAATTACTCCTTGGCCTTTTATTTATTTATATATTTGTTTTGATGCTATTATAAATGGAATTACTTTATTAATTTATTTTTCAGATAATAGTTTATCATCGGTGTATAAAAACAAGAATACTATTTGTATGTTAATTTTGTAACTCTCAACTTTGTTGAATATAGTGTTTATCAGCTTTAATGGGTTTTTTTGGTGGAGTCTAAGATTTTCCCTATGTTAAAAGATTACATTTTCAGAAAACAGAGACAATCTCACCCCTTCCTTTCCTATTTAGATGCTTTTCCTTTCTTTGCCTTGTATAATTACTCTGGCTAGTCAATTACATATAACGTTTTCAGCATTTGCAATTTGACATCAAATCTATCTGTTGTAATACACTGATTGTTACTTTTCAACTCGAAAACCTGGACATTTATCACTACTCTCCCTTTCTCTTGATCTAGTTCTTATAAAAAAAACTATCAATGTAAACCAGGATAGATATTTTTCTGTAAAACAACTTCAACAGCACTAAAAAATTTTAGTCTAACAATTTTTAAACTTTCTATGTCAATGATATTAAACTGTGGTCTCTCAAAACAAATCCAATACCTTTAGTAGGAAAAATTATGTTAATTCCTACACTATCATTGGGTCCAGCCAAGAGTTGACCAAAGATGATATTAATAGATATGCTTATTTATTACCTTGTTCTCACAGTTCCAGTGTAAGTCTTGAAAATCTAATAAAAATTTGTAAAGACTATAATTGCACAAACTCCCTCTCTCATGAGTCACACAGTTAATCCAGAATATTATTTCTAAGTTATTATAAAACCAACAAGGAAATATGATGTAGTGTATAAAAAGAATAATCCCAATTTGATAAGTATATTCTATAAGTGAGACATGTAATTGATACTATTTACTAAATATCTCAATTACATTTATTTACATAGAAATGAAAGAATCAAAAGCATTATCTATTATTCAATATTTAAATGACTAAAAATACTTGAAATAGCATTGCTACATAAATGCTATGTAAATGCTGACAAAAGGAAAAATGTCATTCCCTGCATTTGCTGAATAAATTGTGACACATTAGAAGTAGTTTTAAAATATATCACTAATGGTTGGGTCAAGTCAGCAAAAACTATTCTAAGTACTTAATTGTGGAAAAATTTAGTACAGGGGATAGTATTCATGTGACGGAAGGATTTTAAATGGAACCCAGAGATTAGCAGCAGCAGGAAGTTTTAATTACATACCAGGTGCAGAGTTTAGGATTCAAGACGGAACCGTAGATAAAGTCTGACTCTTTCCAGCATAGCTAGGAGACATGGCTAACTCCACCTGTCTGGAGGCCTTACCTAGAAATCTAACGGCTCCAAACCAGATAAACAGAACTATTTTCCAAAGTCAAACAATCAATTCATGACATTAAAGCACTTCTGAACTTTGACTTAAATTAGACCAAATGGATAAATTTTGAAGATATTTTTATTTTACCAATGATTTTAACACTGTCTTTACTTCCCCAAGATTACTGAACTCACATGAAATAAAAGGCATTAGAGCTTCTGTTTTTCTGACAAAATATTTAAGAGCTTTCATTTTCTTTTAAGCCGAGCCACTAGAGCTCCTTTATATATACATCACATACACAACACTTCTAGACAGAAAAAGATCTAGCAGCTGTTAAGATTTTCTTTCCCATTTCATGAACCATAACACAACTTCCACAGAGCATCTATGACATGATTAAACTTTCTGACCTGTCCTGTATTTTCCTCTTTCGTAATTAGTCATTCTACTTTAGGACAACAATTTGCCATATAAGATCCTCTCTCATACAACATTTCTTTCCTTCATAACTTTTCTTACCATCAATACATCTTCACATCTACAACTTTCTTTAGATCTCTCTCCCCTACTAATTTCTGATGTCCACCTAAACCAAAAAGGTCAGATAACGCAAGGCAAAACAGAGGAGAGCCTTAGGTTTTGAGAAGGACCTGTCTGCTTAAAGTTCTTGGGGTTCCATGAGGAAAACAGAGTTTCTCCTAAAATGGGGTTTGTCGAACCTTCTATTTTTCCTTAAGGAGTCCCAGGCTGTCAGAAATTACCTTAGATCCTCTCACGTGAGCATCAAGAGTGGCAACAAGACAGACAAGGGAAATAATTCGGACAACTGAGCAGAAAAAGAAAAACTTACTACTGTCGCCACCATAAAGATGGATAAACTGAGGCACCATGCAGTTTAAAAATTCATGTTCACATAGAGTTAGGCTCCACAGCTCACTCTCTTACCATCCTGCAATTTTGCCAACTCTATGCCCAGTCACTGATGCCCCTGTATGGTAGCTCATGGTCCCCTAGGAACTTAGAACCTGAGTTTCATTCCTGCTCTACAGCTATATAATTTTACAATTTTCTTCTGAATTTGTTGGATTCTAACCCTGTGTATCTCAAATTTTATTAATATTACTGAACCTTAAAGGGGGCTGTGATGACTTTTGTCTTCAGAAATATTAAACCTACAAACAAGGCCTATATGAGGTTAAACAGTATTCAAATTCCTATATGCTTTAAAACATGGATGCAATTTATTGAGAAACACACCTATGAAACTGCACCCAATCAACTCTGGACAAACATTTAGATATTATCTCTTCAATATAAGCTATCTAGTGGTAATTAGACATATTCTTCCATATATCAACAGTATCTTACATGCTCATAACCTTAAACATAACTGAAAAGTGTCCAAATTACAGGCCTTACACATTACTGTGGGCTTGAAAAATAATATAGATTGTCTTTAAAGCAGGCAAGAAAATGTATAAACTTCCAGAAGAATGAGTAAAAATAAAAATAAAAAAACGGTTCACACCAAAGGTAGTAATACTAGGAATAAAAGAGGGCTCAACACTGCAGGTTCTTAGAGGCAAAAGTTAATAAAGCCTTGTTTTTGGTTGTGACTCTTTGCCTTAAAACATTATACACGGCCAGGCATGGTGGCTCATGCCTGTAATTCCAGCACTTTGGGAGGCCAAGGCAGGTGGATCACCTGAGGTCAGGTGTTCTAGACCAGCCTGACCAACATGGTGAAACCCTGTCTCTACTAAACATACAAAAATTAGCCGGGCATGGTGGCAGGTACCTGTAATCCCAGCTACTCGGGGGTCCAAGGCAGGAGAACTGCTTGAGCCCAGGAGGTGCGGGTTGCAGTGAGCCAAGATCGCACCATTGTACTCCAGCCTGGGGGCAAGAGCTAGACTTCATCTCAAAAAAAAAAAAAGAAAAAAGTTACACACAACTCTCCCCACTTCCTTTTTTCTTACAAAGAGGTGGTGATGAACCAGGTTTGCTCATGCAGGTGACAATACTCTTGAAAATGGTGGCAGAGAGCCAGCGTGGTGGCTCACACCTGTAATCCCAGCACTTTGGGAGGCTGAGGCAGGTGGATCACCAGAGGTCAGGAGTTCAAGACCAGCCTGACCAACATGGAGAAACCCCATCTCTACCAAAAATACAAAATTAGCTGGGCATGGTGGCACATGCCTGTAATCCCAGCTACTAGGGAGGCTGAGGCGGGAGAATCACTTGAACCCAGGAGGCAGAGGTTGCGGTGAGCCGAGATCGCCCCATCGCACTCCAGCCTGGGCAACAAGAGTGAAACTCTGTCTCAAAAAAAAAAAAGAAAGAATGAATGAAAAAAAGAAAATGGTGGCAGACAAATAAAATGAAGAGAATACAGTTCACTTAATAATCTCATAAACTGGAACTTATTACCCCGGTGACTCTTGCATAGCTCCAGATAAATATGTGACAGAAATGAAATGGCTGTTTGCTACCGATATTTTATGTGATGCTTCATTTTTGATTCCTTGAGTAACTACTTACAACGCATTAGCCCACTTATGCAAGAGGCTGCAATTTTTTGAATTTTTGCATGAGTGAAAAATCAGACCTTGTCAATGACCTTGGGCAGTAGGATGTAAGTTAATTCCTCATGCTCAGTATTCCAATAATGGAACACTAGGCATAAGTGGGTTAACACGATCATGAAAGCATACCTATTCAAGTGACTAATACAACTGATTTTTTTTCTCATCTCTAAAACACAGTAAGGGACCATTTATTTTAAAAATACAACACAGGGACCAGTAGTTTCTTTTTAACTCAGTTTCGGTTTGTTGTTTGTTAAGGCCATTGCTTGGCATAAAGAAAATTTAAAAAGGAGGATAAACCACAATAGAAACATGAAATAGAAGCAGCAGCAAAAGAAAATAAAGAGAAACAAGAAGATGAGAAGAAGACAATACAGACTAGAAGAAAGAAAAAAGAACAGGTGTGGGAAGTAGAAGGCCTATTATGATACCTTTTATCCCCTCCCCAATTCATGAAATTTGAAAAAGTCAGAGACTATCACAACAAAAAAGAAACAAGATACACAAATAGTCACCCCCTAAGTTTTGTTAAGAATAAGACAATCCTGCCCCTCACGCCTGGCTCAGTCACCAGCAGGAGGAGGGCACCCTCCACAGATTGCAGGAGAAGGGGAAGGACTCCTCCTTTCCCTAGGTGCACCTCCACTGCTGCCACCAAGGCCTGGTACAGTACCCGCAGGTTCCTCCCCATCCCCAGGTCGGGCTGGGCCCTGCAGCGCTCCTACTCCCCCTTCCCAGCCCCCAGACTTAATGCTGATACCACCACTAGCACCGATGCCAATACAACCGCTGTCGCCCTCAATGCAGCAGCCCACCCTACAAGGCTCCTACCACCTTGCCCCCGCGGGCACCCTCCTACCACTCCAGTCGAGCTGCAGTCTCCGTCGCTGCCACCAATCTCGTGAGACCAGCTGCAGAGCCATATGCAGGCTCCAGTTTACCACAGGTGACTCTTCCTTGTCCTCCTCCTCCATCCTGGCTTGGAGCAGCTGGGAGGGCAAAACCAGAAAAGCCTAGAATGGGATGCAGAGAGTGGTAGCCTTAGAGCCTCACCTTGTCACGCTGGCCACTGGGTGGCAAGGACCAGTTTCAGGAAAGGCACTCACACCCACCCTCCAAAGTCCAGCTTCTACTTCTGGCAAAGCTGGCCAAGAACTGGGGCCTGAGGTGGGTGTGAGTGCCTTCGCTGAAAGTGCCCCCGTTCAGGTGCAGCTGGCCAGAAATTGCTGGGCCCACCAGGGCTGCACTCCTCCAGGAGCAGGACTAGGAAAAACTCAGACCTAGGCAGCCCTCCCCACCCAAGTGCTGGTTCCTGTTCCTGACGCCTCCACCTACAGTGCCCTGGCCCCACAGTCCCCCATGATTCCCACTAATCCCTGCCCGGTAGTCCCAGGTGGTCTCCCCAACAGGCAGCATGAGGCACAGGCTGGGGAACCACGGGGGGTGTGTGGGCCCTGCTGTGCTCACAATTGCATGAGCAGGAGAAGATTACCCTCTAGAGTCTGGAATCTGGGAAAAGAAGAATGGTCACTGGAAGGAGAAAGGAGGCCACCACTGTTGCTGTTGCTGCCACCTCTGCAGCCCAACAATGCCACGCAGTGTAGCCCCTGACAGCACCCCTAACCTGCCTGCCCCTTGCCATCAGCAGTGTAGCCCCGGGATAGCACACCCAACACATCCCGTGCCAGTTGCAGGCATATAACCCCAGTACCCCCCCAAGCCACCACCCCCAACAGGCAGTGTAGCACATTACAGGGCCCACAACCCGACCCAGCCAAGGGGGTTGCTGCACTAGTCAGTGCCCCAAACCCGCCCCCCCCAACCCCACCACGGGCAGTGCAACTCCTGATAGTGCACCCCAAGTAAGTGAAGTGCAGCACTCCATAACACCCCTAAACCACCGCCCACTGCCAGCATTATAGCTCCAGATAACCACCCAACCCACCCCCTGCCGCAGGCAGTGGAGCAGAAAATAGTGCCCCTAACCCATCACCCACAACCAGCAGTACACATTAGTGCACACAATCTGCCTCCCTCCACCACCCCCGCCACCGCAGGCAGTGTAGCCAGTGATAGCCAGCCAACCCCCCCCCCAACCGCCAGCAATACCCCAGAGAGTGCCCCGAACCAGCTGCCTGCCACAGGGAGTGCAGCCTTGGGCAGTGAGCCCCAAAAGGACACCCAACCCCTGCCCCCAGAGGTGGGCAGTGCAGCCCCAGAAAACTCACCTACCCAACGGCACGTCTACCACTCTGGAAGACCTGCAGTGTCCGACATCACCACCAACCGCAGCGAGGCGAGCTGCGGTGGCGCAAGCTCCAGCCTCCAGCATGCGTCCGTGCCTCTCCCTTCTACTCTTCCTCCTGCCCGGCAGGAAAAGCTCCCACTGCAGGCCACCCTTCGACCGCTCCATCCCCACCACCAACCGGAGACAGCCAGTGCCCTGGCTCCAGCTGGCAGCAGATGGCGGTCCCCTCTCCTAGTTCTCTAAGCGAAGAGCAGCACACCAGCACTGAAGAACCTGAAATGACCTGAGGTTGCTCTCACCGTGCTTTATATACTGAGGTTACGCACATGCGTTCTTGGACTACATGTTCTGATTGGATGAGAGAAAAACCTCTAGGCCTACTCTGATTGGGCTTTATTTTCATGCTGTGATTTGTTGTCTTAAGACTTGCTCTCATCCAATCAGAACATGATAATAAAGTCCAATCCCAGTAACCCTGGAGGGTTTTTCTCATCCAATCAGAACATGCAGTCTAGGAACCTTCATCTATATATAACCTCAGTATATGAATGATCCTGAAGGGAAGGCTGCCCCTTTAAGGTTCCGGTATCTTCCTGTAGAGCTGCTCAGGGCCCAGCTTAGAGGACCGGGAATGGGTAATCACAGGCCGTACGCTGGAGGCTGGAGCCGCGGTAGGACGGCTCGCCTCGCTGCGGTTTGTGGTGACGGCAACGGAGAAAGCAGTGTGGTGCAAGAGGTAGGAGGAGGAAAATAGTTTTGGGATAGATGGAGGGAGGTAAAGAGGGTGGTTAGTGACAAAGGGAAAAGAGAATAGCGAGCAGGAGAAGGTGTTGCAAAAAGACAGTGGGGAAAAGATGGTGGGAAAAAAGTTTTTGGGTAAATGGAGGGGGAGAAACAGGGTGGGGAGCGGGAGGGAGGGAAGGTTTTGCAGAAAGACAGTGGGTAAAAAGTTTATGGGTAGATGGAGGAGAAGAGGGTGGCAAGGGGGAGGAGGAAAGAGGGTGGGAGGGAAATGGGGGCAAGCAGTAGGGAGAGAAGGTTTTGTGAAAAGACAGTGGGGAGAAAAGTTTTTGGGTAGATAGAGGGGGAAAAGAGGGTAACAAGTGGGGGAAGGGAAAAGGGTGGCCAGCGGGAGGAAGACAGGGTTTTGCAAAAACACAGCAGGCAGAAAAGAAAGACGGGGCGGGGAAGAAAAGATGATGGGTAAAATGTGTTTGGGTAGATGCACGGGGGAAAGAGGGTGACCAGGAGGAGGAGAAAAGAGGGTGGCGAGAGGGAGCAGGGAAAGAGGGTTGGGGAAAAAATGGAAAAATAGTTTGGGGTAGATGGAGGGCAAAACAGAGTGGAAAGCAGGATAGGGCAAAGAGGATGAGTGGGAAGGGGGAAATACTGAAAAGACGGTGGGGAGAACTTTGAGGGATAGATGGAGGGGGAAAAGAAGGAGGTGAGCAGGAGTGGGGAGAAGGCTTTCCGAAAAGGCTGTGGGGAAATGTTTTTGGGTAGATGGAGAAGGGAGAGGGTGGCAAGGAGGAGCAGGGGAAAGACGATGAGGAAAACAGTTTTTGGGTAGATGAAGGGGGAAAAGAGGTTGGTGAGCGGCAGGAGTGAGGAGAAGGTTTTGGGAAAAGAGGGGGGAAAATACTTTTGCTTAGATGAAGGAGCAAAAGATGGTGATGAGAGTGGGACGGGGAAAAAGAAGGTGGCCAGGGAGAAGGGGAAAAGACGGTGGGAGAAAACAGTGGGGAAAGTGTTTGGGCAGATAGATGGGGAAAAGGGTGGTGAGCGGGAGAGTAGAGAAGGCTTTGCGAAATGACGGTGGGGGAAAAATGGTGGGGAAAAAGTTTTGGGGTAGATGGAGGAAGAAAATGGGTGGCGAGGGGGAGGAGACCAAAGGCGGTCGGGAAAAGAAGGTGGAGAAATAATGGTGAGAGACAAAGGTTTTGGGTAGATTTTTTTAAATCAGATTATTTGTATTTTTGCTTTTGAGTAGTTTGAGTTCTTTATATATTTTGTGTATTAACCCCTTGGCTGATGCATAGTTTGCAAATATTTTGTTCCATTCTCTGGGTTGTTTCTTCATTCTACTGATTGCTTCCTCTGCTTTGCAGAAGGTTTTAAGTTTAATGTAATTACATCTTTGCCTTTGTTGCTTATACTTTTGACAAGTTTAATGTAATTACATCTTTGCTTTTGTTGTTTGTGCTTTTGATGTCTATTTGTGCTCAAGATTTCTATACATTATGTTCATTGTCTGCTTTATCAGTAAAAGTATAGTAGAGACTGGGTTTCACCATGTTTGCCAGGCTGGTCTCGAACTCCTGACCTCAGGTGATCTGCCCTCCTCAGCCTAACAAAGTGCTGGGATTACAGGTGTGAGCCACCGTGCCCAGCAGTCATCTTCTTTCTTAGATGGAGTCTTGTGTGAAACACACCACAGAAGTTATGTTCACTTACAGCTGGGGGAGGCTGACCACCTTGTGTGACAAGGTTGGAACCCAACTGCCACACTTCCCTGTGTGTCTCCACATGTCCTCAGGCCTGCTGGGGGCTCCCTTTTCCTGGTCTTTCATGCAGAGGAAAGACGTAGTGTGTGTTGAGAGCCAGCCTGGTGGTGGGATGTAGTGACTGCCCAGCCAGTGGAAGCTGCTGCTCTTGCCTCTTTGGACCGTCCCTCCCCTGTCCAGGACCTCACTTCATCTAAACACCTCAGGTCAAGCCCAGCAGGAAAATGAGATTCTCTTTTCCTTTCTTTTTTTCTTTTTTCTTTTTTCTTTCTTTTTTTTTTTTCTCATGTAGAGTCTCATTCTGTTGTCCAGGCTGGAGTGCAGTGGCGAGATCTCGGCTCATCGCAACCCCTGCCTCCTGGGTTCAAGGGATTATTCTGCCTCAGCCTCCCAGGGAGCTGGGATTACAGGCACCTGCCACCATGTCTGGCTAATTTTTGTATTTTTAGTAGAGACAGGGTTTCACCATGTTGGCCAGGCTCGTCTCGAACTCCTGGCCTCAAGAGATCTGCCCACCTCGGCCTCCCAAAGTGCTGGGATTATAGACATGAGCTATCAAGCCCAGCCTAGAACTTCCCTTTTCTTTTCTTTTTTTTTTTTTTTTTTGTTTGACACAGAGTCTTGTTCTGTCGCCCAGGCTGCAGTGCAGTGGCGTGATCTCAGCTCACTGCAACCTCCACCTCCCAGGCTCAAACGATTCTCCTGCCTTAGCCTCCCAAGTAGCTGGGACTACAGGCACGTGCCACTATGCCCAGCTAATTTTTCTTTTGTATTTTTAGTAGAGACAGGCCAGGCTAGTCTTTAACTCTTACCTCAACTGATCCACCTGCCTCGGCCTCCCAAAGTGCTGGGATTACAAGCATGAGCCACTGTGCCGGGCCAAACTTCCCTTTTCTTTCCATTTCTTGGTATTTGGAAAGTGAGCAGCCATGGAACAGCCGGTGTTTTCAGCTGGTGCAGACCCAGCTGGTATGCTCGTAAGACTTCTAGCTGAAGGAAGTGTCCACCCTGCAGTCTCGCTGGCATCCCATCACCTTCCAGAAGCAGGATGCCAGCTGTGTGTGCTCTTGGCTCTGTGCTCGGGGTGCTGGTCTTGCCAGTTTTCCCACCCCTTGTTTCGGGTGAGGTCCCGCCCAGCTGGCATGGGAAGGAGGATGGGGATTGGTCACCACTGTGGTTTGTTGCAGAGTGAGTTTGGTGGCTGCCTTGCCTGGGCCCAGCTCCCATGTTTCTCCCGCTTGGCTGCAGCTCCAGCCCTGCTCTGTCCCCCGTAGCTTCCTGCCCAGCTCCACACTGCAGCCTTCCCAGCACCCAGAAACAGCACAAACCCCACAGAACTCCAGTGTCCCCTCCCCTAGTCCTTTACACACACCTGCTAAGCCAGGCCTGGGACCCACAGCTCCATCATGTGAGCTGTACACGGCCTGGCAGGTTGAGGTGCTAGGTCACCCCTCACCTTTAAAAGGCCTCAGGTCATACCATTCATGCGTGCTCTGGGGCCCTCAGAGCCCAAGCTCCCAGCCTGAGGGTCTAGGGCTGAGGCCTCACCCGCCCATAGTCCTGCAGTGACCCCAGCTCTGTCATGAGTCCAGCCGGCTCCAGCCGGGCCAGGAGCAGCTGTACTGGGACACGCTGAAGCAGCTGTCCAAGCACATCAAGCCCCTGCACCGCGTGGTCAACAAGATCGACAAGAGTGAAGGTGGGCTGCGGCCGGGGTGGGGGCCAGTGCCCTGGGGATGCCACCAGGCTCGTGTCTTATGGTCCCCTCTGCTGTCCCAGACAGAAAAAAGGACCTGAGCAAGATGAAGAGCCTTCTGGACATTGTGACAGACCTCTCCAAGCAGTGAGTTTTGCCTACAGCCAACGTAGGGTCCACAAGGGCGTGGGTCGTCCAGCCATGGATGGGCATTTGGTGATGATGTGGGGTTAGCAAAGGCCCCAGGCAGCTCTTTGGGCCCTGGACAGAGGCCTCCAAGTCTCCACTCTGGTGTGTGCTGGGGCTTCGAGCCCAGGCTTCATCTTGGCCGGTGCCCAGCCTTTGCCCTACTCCTGACCACTGCTGTGGCCCTCATGCTGGCCCATCACAGCCAGGTCTCATCCAGCCAGTAGTTGGGGGCCCAGCTTGCAGTGACCTGAACATCAGCTGGCCGTGATGGGCCTGAGCATGACCTGGAGTTCTGCCCCTGACTTCCCGGTGACCATGGACAGGCGACTGCATCTCAGTTACCCCATTTGCAGCCCATGTGTGCTGTCATGAAAATGAAACAAGACGGTGCTGGTGAGAAGCAGGTGGAAGGCAGGGCCACCGGCCACGGGCTGCTGTGAGCTCGGGCAGCACCTCAGAACCGCATGGGCGTTGGCCTATACTTCCCTGTCACCTAAACTCAGGGTGTCCCCCCACCCCCGTCTAGAAGTGTCTCTCTGTTTTGCTTGTCTGGATAGAATGCCAGTCACTATTGGGTGGTCCTCCAGGCCTTCTTGAGTTGATTCTTCATTAGGGTTATAGGACTGAGCAGGACAGGGACTGGCCTAGGTGCAACTGAGGCCTTTCCAGCCTGGTCAGGGTCCTGGCCACTGTCCCTTCTCTTGACCCATTGCCTCACTGCCAACAGGGATGGGCAGCTCCTAGGGGTGAGGGCCACCTGCCTAGACTCTGGGTCTGGGAACAGCTGGTCAGCTGAAGGGAGCTCCTGCAGAGGTTTCTGAGGGCCGAGGCCCAGTGGCAGTGGTTGGGATCCCAGATCCCAGCCTGAGACCTGCCATGTCTCCCAGCCCTCCAGCACAGAGCTCAGCCCAAGTCCCCTCTCTCTGCAGGTCCCCTGAAGACCTTGCCAAAGTGTGAGATCACCCTGGAGAAACTCAAGAATGACATGGCGGTGGTGAGTGGGATGCTGGGGACCCCTGGGGGATCGGGGCTCCCTCAAGAGCTCCTGGGGGCACCACTGGAGGGGCCTTCATGGTCAGGCTGGGTGGGGGCTGGGCCTGATCTGAGACCCTGCCCACCAGGCCTCTTCCAGGCCAGGTTTGCTGTGCTGGGCGGGAACGTGGGAGAAGTCACCCTCTGTCTGTGGCCCCCGTGGGTGCCTCTGCCACCCGGTCCAGAGACAGCAGGGACTCTGGGGAGGACAAGGCTGTGGGGGTGGGGATTATACCCAGGATCGGCCAACATTGTCTGCACAAGGGTGGAGGCTAAGAGAGAGGCCTCGGGAATCTGGCTGTGAGTGAGGACTGGCCAGAGGTAGGAAGGCCCCCTAAATGGAGAACCCTCAGGTCCCGGGCTTCTGACCGTGCCCATCCTACCGCCAGCCCGCTGCCCCTGGTGCCGCTGACCAAACAGCAGTACCTATGCCAGCAGCTCCTGGATGCTGTCCTAGCCAATATCTGCTCACCCTCTTCAGCCATTCCCTGTACCGCACATTCGCTCCAGCCATGACTGCCATCCACGGCCCACTCATCACATACATCCAGCTGGGCTGGGCTTTACAGAGGGCGGATGGCCAGCCCTGGACCATGTGTGCCCACTGTGGTCACCATGCTGCCTCCTCACGTCCACAGTGGTGTGCACCCGGAAGCACAGGCTTGAGGACGATGAGCGGCAGAGCATCCCCAGCATGCTCCAGGGCGAGGTGGCCAGGCTGGACCCCAAGTGCATGATAAACCTGGACTCTTCTCGCTGCAGCAACAATGGCACCGTCCACCTGGTCTGCAAGCTGGGCGAGCGTCCAGGAGGGCCAGGCCGGCACAAGTTAGGAAGCCTTGTCCACAGCACCAGGTCTCTGCCATCCGAGCCGGAGGGCACCGTGCCCAGACCCCACCCTGTGTTCACACCCCAGCAGGCTGTCTGCTTTGTCTTCACATACACGGAGCCCAGGACAGACTGGCCATGCCTCTGCCCCCACGCACCCTCATCTCCCCAACACAGATACGGCTCTGCTTGCCTGGGGCCCTAGGGAGGTGACAGGCAGGACCTCTGGGCACCCATTGACGCAGGGCACTCTGGGCTTCAGGTTTGGAAATCTGAGAGTCAGAGAGACATCCAGGCTTTGCCGCAAGCCTCACCAGAACCTCCCGGGGTGTGAAGAGTCCTGTTCGGGAGCAGGGCTGTGAGGCGGGGCAGGCCAGGGCTCGTCCGGGTCACAGGTACAGCCTTGTGTGTTGCAAACGACAAGGACCTCCCAAGTGTGCCACCATGTGCCCACCCACTACCCTGCCCAGAGTCCACTGTGGATGGACTGGCAGTGGCTATACAGTGGGCAGACCCAGAGGAGCTGTCTGGGGGCCCAGGGCAGGCAGGGGTCATTCTGGAAAACCAAGCTTCTAGTGCTGCAGGGACAGCCTCTGTGCCCCTCCCCGGCTCAGGCCCCTTCCTCCCCTCTTCTGGCTCCTCCTGTGTGGAATCTCTCAGGTTCCAGTGGTAACCTGAGAGATAGGAGTCTCTGCTCTTCTGTGTCCCTTTGCCCCTTCATCTTGTGTCCGGTCAGCTTTCCAGGGTGGCTGTGTTCAGTGGCTGAGGGGTGAGAAACCCTACGCCTCAAGGACAGACCCCGCTTTTCCCAGAGGCCACTAGGGAGCTCAGTGGAGCTGACAGGTCCTACCAGTAGCTTGGGCACACAAGACCCCATCTGGGTGATGTGTCTCCAAAGAGAGTCATGTTGACAGGAGTCAGTCTCCCTGAGCCCAGAGCTGGCACATAGCAGAGCCAGGGCTGGGTCCCCAAGGTTGTCAGAGGCAAAGCCTTGAGCTCCAAATCCCGTTCAGATTCAGTTCTTCACTGATGATGAGGCTCCGGGAGGAGAGCCTGATGGCCAGGCAGGCAGCGTGCAGGGATCCTCCTGGTGCTTCAGCCAGTCCTGGGGCTGCCACTTCCCAGAGCACTGCCGGGTGTGCAGGGCGTGGGTGCAGCGCCAGCTGCCTCAGGCTCATGCCCACTGTTCGGTTGCAGGCACCAACCCCTTCCTCAGGTCGATGCACCACCGCGTGACCTCCAGGCAGCTGCAGCTCCCGGACAAGCACTAGGTTACCACCTTGCTCAGCACCTGTGCCCAGAGCATCCACAAGGCCTGCCTCTCGGCTGCCTAGCCAGGACTGCAGGGATGGCCCGCAGCCTCATCGGGGCCAAGGATGCATGCCTCCTGTCAGACACTTCTAGATGTTGGCGTCCATGGAGAGCCTGGAGTTAGGTTAGCTTTCCTCCTTTTCTCTCCTGCCTTGGGGATCTGCCAAATGAAATCCCACACTTGTACAGACTGATAGGTGCGCAGTGGAGTGTGCTGCCTGCAGGGAGTTGGCTGTCTTCTTGGAGAAGGCACTCCATGTGACTTCCTCCATGAAGCCAGACACAGTCCCCAGCCACGATCCTCGGGCTGCTCTCACCACGGCCTGTCCAGGGTCCGGGTGCATCTCAGCAGCATGAGGTTGTGCTCAGGTTGTTGTTAGCGCGTCTTGTGTGTGCTCGACACACCCCTGCTGCTTTCTATAGGAGAACACAGAGGACATAGGAAACCCTTCAAACACACATGGGACTCTCTGCTCACAGTTTTGGGTTCAGGCTGCACTGCTTTGGGCAAGTGGGGCACCCCCTAGGGAAGCCTCTGAGTCCAGGGCACAGGATGCCTCTTTCAATACTTGTTTTTTTTCTCATACTCAGGATCTATACTGTAGACTTTATAACACTGTACCCTTAAGCTACACCAAATTTATTAAAAAATATTTTTTCTTTGATAATTAACTTTTCTGTAGCTTTTAAAATTTATAAACTTTTAAATTTTTTAACTTTTTGACTTGCAATAACAGCTTAAAATACATTGTACAGCTAGCTGTATAAAAATATTTTTCTTTATAGCCTGTAAGTTTTTTTATTTGAAAAACGTTCTATTTTAATTTTCTTGAAAACTCTGTTAAAAGCTGTGACACAAACATATACATTAGCCTAGGCCTACACTGGGTCAAGATCATCAGTGTTACTGTCTTCCACCTCCACATCTGCTCCCATTGGAAGGTTTTTAGAGGAAATAACGTGTGGATCCAGCTGTCATCTCTTGTAGTAACAATGCCTTTTTCTGGAGTACCTCCTGAAGGACCTTCTGAGGCTGTGTTTCATAGCTAACTTTTTATCTTTAAGTAGGAGTATACTCTAAAATAACAATAAAAAATATACCATAGTAGGCTGGGCCTGGTGGCTCACGCCTGTAGTCTCAGCACTTTGGGAGGCCCAGGCGAATGGATTACCTGAGGTCAGGAGTTGAGACCAGCCTGGCCAACATGGCAAAAGGCCTTCTCTACTAAAAATACAAAAAAATAAGTCAGGTGTGGTGGCTTGCAGCTGTAGTCCCAGCTACTCTGGAGGCTGAGGCAGGAGAATTGCTTGAACCCGGGAGGCGGAGGTTGCAGTGAGCTGAGATCACGCCACTGCACTCCAGCCTGGACAACAAAGTGAAACTCCATCTCAAAAAAAAAGTATATTATAGTAAATACATAAACCAGTAACAGTTATTTATTCTCATTATCAAGTATTGTATACTATACATAATTGAATGTGCTATACTCTTTTTATATGAATAGAAGTGAAAGTTTGTTTACACCAGCATCGCTGCAAACAAAAAGTAATGCATTGTGCTTGGACATCATGATGGTTATGTCAGTAGGTGATAGGAATTTTTCAGCTGTGTTACATATTGTCTATCATTGTCTGAAATGTTGTTATGTGGCAGAAGACTATTTACTTTTTTTGGAAATTATTCTTAAATAAGGAAAAATTCTGATATCTACTACTTGTTCTCTGATCTTATCTTCCTGTGCAATGGCTGCATTAGAGAAGAGTCGTTTGATAGTTACACTTAGTTACGTCAAAGTAAATACATTTGTTTAATCAAAGTTTCAGCTTGATCTAAGGTGAAACACCTCAACTTAGAGTGAGGAAAAAATACAGTTGAAAGAGAGCAAACAGTAAAACCAGCATTTGTTAAATCATTTAGTAAAACATTTGCCTAGGGGTTAAGGGGCAGTTATAAATATAAAAGCAAACTATTTGTAAGTTTTGCTATTTCTCTTCTGTTGTGACATTCTTGAATATAAATGTGTGCATTTAAATAGCTATTCTTCCCTTCTGAGGACTACAGCCCTTCAGTGTTCTTGGGTATAATAACAAACGCATATTTCACTTAAACACAGAAGATGGTTCATTTGTGTTGTAGATATGCATGTCCGCTTTTTAACTTTGAAAGACAGCCTGTTTACTTGGACATTTGTATTATGGGTCCACAGTTGGTACACAGTCTACTATTTCTATGTTATATATATGTTTACATAAAGGCATTCATGTCAAAATCAGATAGTTTTGTGTTCTTTTAAAGAAGAAAAGGAAGGAAATATGTTATAATAATAGGTGATATTAGATCTAGAATATAATTGTTGGATTTTTGGTTGAAAAACATCTATGATTATTTTAATTCATCCTATGTCTCTGTAATGGAAACATATTTTCCATAAGTTTTACCTTTCTCTGAATTCTTTCTGTTTTATGAATGTTCTTCAGGCAAAATGCGTGCATTCTGTAACTCAAAAGAGATGGAGTGCCATCGAAGGAAAAAGCAGATTTTACAATTAAACTAGTAAATACAGAGATTGTCTAGATAACATATTTCATTAATTCTAAGGAGCACTTATTTTTACTCTTCTCTGAAATTGGGAGTGTATCGTATTTTAGATGGTGTCTTACAATTGACAGTGTGTTTTCATTCCTTTTGGGACATCAAATAATGCTGCATCTTAAAACGGACAATACTGTAGAGTCTGTGAAATACTTGCGTATATGTGTGGGGAGTGTTTGTTAATGAGTTACCCGGTGTGGAGATTTGTGAGAACTATAGACCAAATATTTTTTCCCTTATGTTTTTACATTTTGGAAAATAGTTTTTTAAATAGGAGGCTTTTTACAACCTGATATTAAGCTTTGAGTATTGTAGTAGATTTTCATTGTTTCATTAGATTGATTAAAAAATAATATAAATGGTGCAAAAACAATTTCCATTTTGTAAGCTTAATAATACTGACCTTATGCTTACTATTGAGTGTTTCTACTTATACCACACATTTGGTAGTATAAAAATAGCTTTTTTCAAAGTTTTCTCATAATAAATTTCTTTTAAAAGGTTGGATAGCTATTATCCTGAGTCTTATGTCTGATACCATGTTTTTGTTTTGTTTTTAGAGTCTTATATTTAAAGAAAAAGTAACAAGCCTTAAATTTAAAGAAAAACCTACAGGCTTGGAGACAAGAAGCTGTAAGTATCTTCTCTTGTCCATGGTGAAACTAATTCATGCAGATCCAGAGCTCTTGCTTTGTGTAAGTGTTTTTTTATGAAATACGTCAAAATTACCACACTAAGTTCATTTGGTTTAACTGAAACGCCAAGACCTTGAGGGTAATTTTTAGCTCAAGAGCACTTACTGATCCTTTCTGATCGTAACTGAAAACTAAGACGTCTCTAAGAAACCTAATGTATAATGAATACTGATATAATTAGATCAGATTCTTAATTGCCCTTACCATTTCTTAACATTTCTCTTTCTTCTTAATTTCCGTATCATTCAACTGACATGCTTAACATAACTAAGCTTCTCTAAGCTGGTATTCATTATGGGAGAATGCCGTTCTTATGTCTGGTTATATCTGCATTAGGTTATTGTTGATGCTAGTGACAATAAATTTTATGTTACTGCAGCTCACAAGTGTATTTTTACATCTGCAAGAAATTAACTAGTCATTAAATGCTTAGTAGCACAGAAATTCTCAAGTGGTTGCAGGAAATTTTGATCTGCAGGAATAAATTTTTTTCTTAAAAATAAGATAAACGAAATGACATCTTTAAAAAATGGGAGAATATTTGGAATGGTGATGGGGAGAGATTAAGAAAGTGTTTTATAGCCAAATTAGTTTCTATTTCAGCTCCTCCTTCCCCCCAAGGTTCTCAAAAGGATATATATGTGCAGAGGACAAGGGCTGGCAAATTAGCATTTTAAAAATTATTCTGAAGCTTTGGCCGTAAAACCACACTGTTGATGAATTCTAGTTCTAGTTTGAGTTAAATAGGTCTCTATGGGACAGGCCTAGGAAAAGTGGGGGCTGCTATAACCAAAGTAGCTTGAGGAGCATATTCTATCTTTACTCTCAAGTTCACACATAGACATAATTCATACGTAAAATTTAACATATAGCTTCTATAATTAATCTAAGAATTCTATTATGGCATAGATTTGGGAGTACTTGATTTAATGAGTTTTTTGTCCAGTTCTAGAATCATAGCTCTGAGAAATCATAAAGGCCTAGATGTCGTGGCTAGACTAGTCCAGAGAATTATCTATCAAGAAGCAAAAGGGAAAAGGTTGAGGGTCCTCAATCTAGGTTTATTTCTATGCCTCCAATAAGGGTTTCACATCTTGAAAATTTCACGACACTTCTTGGGGTGGAGTGAAATTTTTTGATTCTGCACTATTGAAACATGGTGAGGTTGTGGCAGATAGAGAAGAGTCTTACATTTCTTTTAACATATAGTTTCTATAGTTAATCAATTTAGGAATTCTATTATGGCCTAGTTTTAGGAGTACTTGATTTAATGAATTTTTATCTGGTACTAGAAGCATAGCTGTGAAAAACCTTAAATGTATGAAACTCATATCCTTTTCAGTATTATACAGCTTGTTATTAATAAATTGTCTCTGTTTAGAAATAGACTAATGGTGAAGTGGGTTTATTCACATCTGGCTTATTTGATGTGTTAATGTAGCTGAATTTGGCATTATTCCAAAGATTGGAAAGAGATTAGACTTCAGACTTTCGTGCCCTTGCCTATGGCATAATCTCCAGAATATGAGTATGAGGAATCCAGTAATGAATTCGTAGTGCCCTGGTCAGCACAGTCACTCTTGTGATATAGTTGGTGTATATACCAGGGTTAATTACTGGTCCAGAAGAACTTAATCTCAAGAGTCAATTTCTAGTTATCCCAACATGGCACGGATAAAATCTTGCAGAAAAAAAATCTTTGTCATTGAGACCAAATTATAGTTTTCATACAGTGGATTTACATTGTTGATGTTTTACTTATGTTTATGTTAGACTTACTTTATATTTGTAGAATCTACTGTTTCTGATTATTTAGAGAATGGGAAACTGAAAGAAATTTTAAAGACATTAAGTGAACATTATTTGTTCTAATGGGTTTCTAGTGAATTTCCTTCAAGGTGGGGCATAGAGATTGAGAGGAGAGGTTTTCTAGGAGAGTCTCAAACAGGAAGACAACCGATATAAGTGTTTATTCCTCTTGGTTGTCAGTGCGTCAGTAAAGCTTCTTTCCTTCTTTTTTCTAGCAGGCAGATAGAAGTTCATGTCACTTTCTCCTTTTTTATGGAGTAGGATGTGATACTCCTTCTAGTGGAAATACCAATCAAATGTCCATGGGTCATGAAGTGTCACTATGTACTCCTGAGCCTCTCTCCAGAAGGGAAAAGGGAACTCCTCTATGGTCTGCTTCTTTTGTAATTTTCCTGTATCATCTCGTGTGCTCTATTTGTTTTCTGAATGAACTTTGGTAAATTTCATCCAGGTAATATAGAGTAATAGTGAAAAACTGCTTAGACTCTAGTTCTATCACTGCTCTTTATGGAATTTTGGGCAAGTTCTTAACATCCTTGTTCCTCAATTCCTCAACTTTAAAATGGGGACAATAATAATTCCTGCTCCAGAGTTGTTGTGAGGGTTAAATAAAAAAATGTGTAAATAGCACTTGACACATACAAGCTGTATCTGATAACCTCCACCTCATGAAAAACCATTCATAGCATAGAAGTATAGAATTTGTACCAGCTAACAAAGGTACAGATGTACAGGGATAAAAACAAAATATTTTGTTTCATGTTAAAGATAAGTGTTTCTGTGATTTGCATTTGTGTGTATAATTTCCTTTAAATATAAATCATATTTCAAGTGAAAATATCGGGTCATTACAGAAGAGTTTATTTTCCAAACCAAAACTTTTTTCATCCCTAATTTTTAATATAGCCTTGTTAAAGAAAAAAAATCTAAGCAGTATGCTATTTATTATTGTCTGTTTTACTTGCAGAATTTGAATGTATTTTGTCAATTATTTTCTCCATTTCATGTTTGGGGAATAGGTCATTCAGAATCAAGTCTATCTTCTACAGCAATATTTTGTTCTTGTTTATGCCCTTGTTTCAATGAGTGTCGCAGTGTACTTATTTTATTACTTCCCTAGAGCAAGTAGATAGAATTTCCTGTTACTTCCTCTGTTTTTGTCATTTGTAATTGACTGGGAAGTACATTATATAGTTACTGCAGTAGATTTATGTTATGGTGTTTTACCTGTCCGTGTTAGAATCGGTTTCCATTTCTGGAATCTGGAATAGGATAATACCTATTTTATTTGAAATTGGACAGATAGTAGCTTTATGTTGGTCCAGATAATCTCATTTCTCATTTGGACAAGATATTTTGGGGTTTGAAAAATTCATATAATGATTAAAGGAGAAAGCTCTTATGAGTTATTGTATGCTGAGATATATGTGGACACACACACACACACACGCAGTTTATTGCATTGTTGGGTTTTATACATAAAATTACCCAAGTTGCAAATATATGTCTACCACCCTTGACTCTCAGGATAGTGCAGCAGGATGCAGCGGAACCCCCCTGACTTGCTGACAAGCGCAGACCAGTCTAGAAGTGGCCCTGTACATGTTTCTGCGGAACCCTGACACTGAAGCTGTTCTGGTTGCCATGTCCTGTTTCCGCCACCTCTGTGAGGAAGCAGATACCCGGTGTGGGGTGGACGAAGTGTCGGTGCGTAACCTCTTGCCCAACTCTTAACACATTCATGGAGTTTGCCTGTCAGCAATGTGATGTCAACAGGTAAATATGAATAGTGGTTTTTTTACTCAACCTCCCTAAAGCACATGGCATCTGATTGTGAGAATGTATTTAAGATTACACTTCTGTAAGTTTACAGGAGAAATTCAAGTAGCTTACTTGAAATCCTTTTCTGAACAAAGTAAGATGAAAATAAAAAGCGTTTGAAATAAATTGTTAGTCTCCCACTGAGTTTTTAATGTGCTATAGATTTTAAAATTAACTGGCAGTACGTGTTACTATCAGTTATGACTATGTAATTTACGTTTGTATGACTATGTAATTTATGTTATCCATATACATAGTCAAATTACATATGACTATGTAATTTATGTTATCCATAACTCCGTATGTTATGGATAGTGAAGTTTACACACATTGGCATTTGTTTTGAGTAAATTATAGGTGGGAATAGCTATTTTATGCTGTGGACATTGTAGAGTCTAAGATAAGTACCTTTCCTGTGAGGTTAGTGAACGGAAGTTTTTGGCTTTATCATTTGAGGCATTTGCTCTGCTCCTCCTACTCTGCCTTTTGGGTGGGCTTATCAGGTTGTCCATTGGCAGGCAGGGCTCTAAGTGCAGTAACTTGATTTGCTGTTGTAGTTGCTTAGGCACAGCAGCACTTCCGAAAGAGTGATGGCACTGCTGAGGCGCACTGAGCATCCCACTGCAGGAAACACTGAGGTGTGCTCTAAGCAACAAAAACACCTCTCCCAGGCACCCACGCTCGATTTTGGAAGCCTCTTGTTACATATGTGTGATCAGGAATAGCTTTGAAGTAAATCCAAGATACGTGCATATTACAAGTATAATATCTGAGTACTTAATATATATCAAGTTTGAAGCTTGGCTGTTGCTGATTGATGTTTAGCTCTAGACTTAAAGTTGCTTTCAAGTGATAACTGTCTTCATTTTAGACTTGGGAAGATACACATGCAAAATGGGAACAAGCAACAAAACTAATCCTTAGCTATCCAAAAGCCCAAATGGAAGATGGCCAGGTAAGTCTGTAAAGTTGACTTTTGTCTATTAACTGATCTGCTAAATATATGTCCTTCTCTTTGGTAATCTTTCACGAGTCACTCAGTAAAGTAAGCATATAGTTGTCTGAAAACTGATATTTAGTTGTGGTTTATCTAGACCTGTACTTTGTAATATGATAGCCACTAGCTACGTGTGACTCTTTAACTTAAATTTTAACATAATTAAAATTAAATACAGTTTAGTTCCTCAATCATATAGTAGCCACATTGCAGGTACCCAGTAGCCACATATGACAGGTACTTACTCTGTTGGACAGCAGAGAGAAAATGTTTCCATCATCACAGAAATACTGGGCAGCACTGCTAGAGACTGTTTGTTGCAAAGACCATTTCTTTATCTTTTCTTGCTCTTTCTCCCTTCATCAGGGTGTTTCACAGAATTTTCAGAAAAGGAGCAACAGAGGTAGAGAAAAATTAACATGGAAACCATTCATTTTGCTATTTTGTTAGGTATTCTAATTAAAGAATGTCTTGGGCAGAAGATGGAACCCATAGATAAAATAAAATTTTAAAATATGGACAGTTCCTTCAACTATTACTATTGACTATATTATCCATTACTTTGGAAATTGATGAGTTGGTGTTTGTGTGTATATGATTTATAATGCTCATATTGCTCTCATTATTAGGTGGTTTATAAAAACTGGCTCTTCCCCCATGTTATTTTTCTGTCATGCTTAATTATAATAAGAAAAAAGTTATATTTTCGTGAAGCAAAATTGTGTACCTCATACCTTTATTTGGAGGGGACATGTAGCTTTAGAATGAAAGCTTTTGGGGGATAACTGTTACTATAATATATAATTACATACCATACAATTCACGCATTCAAAGTGTCCAATTCAGTGACTGTTGTTAGCATATTCACAGAGTTGTGCAACCATCACCACCATCAGTTTCAGAACAATTTCATCAATTGAGAAAAAAAGCCGGTATCCTTTAGCTATCTCTGCCTCTAACAACCCCCCACCTTTCTTGTCTCTCTTCCCCCCGCTTCTCCAACCCTAGGCAACCACGAATCTACTTTGTCTCTGTAGATTTGCCTATTCTGGATATTTTCTGTAAATGGAGTTTTAGAATATGTGGCCTTTTACGATTAGCTTCTTTCACTTAGCATAATGTTCCCAAGGTTCATCCGTGTGAAATCAAAGCTTTTTAAAAGAAATTTGATACTTTGGCAATTATATTAGTGTATGACAAAAATAAATCAGTGGCTCTTTAAAAATGTATATGGTAATTTAGGGGGTTGATTTTAATGTATTTTTTTACATTTTTTTGTACGTTTGTCACGGAAGAAATGTTGGATAAAGAGTAATTTGTCAAGTCTCAACTAATTTAGGTTTAATTCATGCTTTGCACAAAAATTTTGTGTTTAGGCTGTTGAAAGCTTCACAAGACCATTGTTAAGAGGCGAATGTCCCATGTGAGTGGAGGAGGACCCATAGATTTGTCTGACACAGACTCCCTACAGGCATGGATCAACATGACTAGCTTCCTTTGTGCCCTTGGGGGAGTGTGCCTCCAGCAGAGAAGGAATTCTGGCCTGGCAACCTATAGCCCACCCATGGGTCCGGTCAGTGAACATAAGGGTTCCATGATTTCAGTGATGTCCTCAGAGGGAAACGCAGATACACCTGTCAGCAAATATATGGATCAGCTGTTGTCGTTAATGGTGTGTAAGCTTGAGAAAGTGGGACTTCAAATACGGACCAATGGTAAGGACCTGGTGGGTCTAGAATTGAGTCCTGCTCTTTATCTGATGCTATTTAACAAATTGAAGAGACGCATCAGCAAGTTTTTTGACTCCTAAGGACAGGTAAAGTGTGCTCTTTTTTATTTTTCACCTTTCCCTATGAATAGAGTGACTTGTTTGAAATAATGAAGCCTTTTTCTTTCAGATTATTTAAATTAGGTACTCACAGTTTTTAAAAATTGTCAAAAAATTGTAGAAAGAAGAATCATCTCAATGAATGGTCAGCTTGCTTCTAGGAACTCTGATGTGTATGTGTGCCTGAGGGTATACGTGCCTTGTATATGGGTATGAGTGTCTGTGTATATCTGTGTGCCTGTTTGGCTGCGTGCCTGTGGGTGCATGTCTCTATTTGTGTGTTTAGATCAGTCAGTTTCATCTCTCTAGGGATCTGTCTTCTGGGCATTGATGGCAAATCATTAATATATTTGTTCTCTCTATAGGTTTTATTGACTGATACCAATACTCAATTTGTAGAGGAAACCCTAGCTATATTGAAGAACTTGCTAGATAATCATACTGAAGGCAGCTCTGAACATCTAGAGCAAGCTAGCATTGAAACAATGATGTTAAATCTGGTCAGGTAAGCCTTCTACTGAAATGTAGCAGAAACATACTTTAAGATTTAAGAGACAAGAAAAACCTGTCACACATTGATATTGATAGTAATTGATAAAATAATTTGCCATTCTTTACTGCACACAAACTAGGCTGTGACAACAAGGTAACCAGAAATTGTGTATGCTCTCCTATAAATAAATGTCTTACTGTTTTCAAACTTACGTTTAGTTCATTTTATTTGATGGTTAAAGTATTTTGAATGCCTTATCTTGTGTCTGTATCTGATAACTTTTTTATTGTCTCTATGTCTGTATAGGTACGTTTGTGTGCTTGGGAATATGGTCCATGCAATTCAAATAAAAACGAAACTGTGTCAGTTGGTTGAAGTAACGATGGCAAGGAGAGATGACCTCTCATTTTGCCGAGAGATGAAATTTAGGTGAGTTCTCAAAAGAGCAATGTAGGGTCTTGTAAATCTTAATTTGTTGAATGAAGTACAGAAATAGAGTAGATATCTGGTTATTGGTAGGAAGAAAGACATAAAAAGAGAGCAGTTTACATGTTTGTTTTTCTCTGTGTCTCTCCTCAAATTTCCCTAAGCTTTGTGCCTGTGGCAAGCCTCCCTTTTTCTAAAACTCTGCTGTACTTGAGCTAAGAATTTGATTCTGTTTCCAATCTGATAGCATAACTAAAGGCCATGATGGAGGATCAGTATCCACGTTGCTTGTTCCTTCTGGCTTTTACATCTATGATAGCAGTATCTCTTTTATAAAGTCGTCATGTCACCTGGGTTATCTGCCAAATTATTTGCACCATAAGTAATCTTACATCACTGAAGGTGTGTGTGTGGGGGGGTATGACTTCAGAAAAATTGTGTGCTGTTTCTCTTTTCTCCACCATTCTATAGGAATAAGATGGTAGAATACCTGACAGACTGGGTTATGGGAACATCAAACCAAGCAGCAGATGATGATGTAAAATGTCTTACAAGGTAAAAAAAATGACTTTCAAATATTAGTGGGTTTTACTGTGAGAATTATAACTACTTCATTACAGCTTTATACTTGTATTTTATGTGTATTTAAACTTTTTAGATGTAAAACTTTTGTGTTCAAAATATGTAAAGACACTAATCTTTATTACTACTTTTTCTTGACCGATAGACTTTCAGGAAAAATAAATGTGCGAGAGCGGTATGTTTGGGAAGTTATTGTTGTCAGTTTATGAAGAATAGTCTACAGTTATTGGGAAATAAGATACATAAAGCCTCAGATTGCATTTATGTTATGATGAGATAGATAAAGGTATTATTTGAGAAACTCATTGTGTTGAGTCTAAGAAACAATTGATTTCCTGATTCAAACACCAGAGATAGACCAAAAAAGGAAGTAATTAAGTCTACTTTAATGATAAATACTTATTGACACATATCAGAAAGTGATTAAACACTATGGACTGTATAATAAGCATTTACATATGTTTCTTTGACAAAGCCTAGCTTTATAATACGGTCGTCTCTCAGTATCTGTCAGGGATTGGTTCCAGGAACCACCCCCCAAACTCCTGCCCACATCTCACTCCCATGAACACTAAAATCCACAGACTCAAGTCCCTGATACAAAATGTCATAGTATTTGCATATAAACTATGCACATCCTCCCATATATTTTAAATATTTTTAGATTACTTATAATATCTAATACAATATAAATGTTATATAAATAGTTGTTATACCATATTGTTTAAGGAATAAAAACAAAGAAAAATCTGTACATGTTGAGTATTTGAAATCCAGGAGATTAGGTTGGACTTTCAATAAATGGTGTTGATAAAACTGAGTAATGATCTGGAAAAATATCTTCATACCATTTATGAGGATAAACTCCCATAAATCAAAACAGCATGGCAAAGCAAGGCCTTTTTCATCCATTCAAAATCCATAAGCTAGAAAGGAAAAGATTGATAAAATGAATTCATTCAAAAATCATAAACTTCTGTCTGGGACAAAAATGTCATGAGTAAAAACAATCCTATGGTTAATATCCTCGTCCAATAGTTCTCTTAGAATAGTCCTAAAAGTGCTTTTGTGGCTCAAAGAGCAATACCTTGAAATTTTTGGTGCATGTTGTCAGATTACCCTTTAGAATGCCTGTTGCTTTTAAAATATTTTTTATTTTAGTATTTTATTGTTTATCCAATTATAGACTATTTTACATACTCAGTAGACAACATAAAGCCTCAGAGGTACTCTGTTCTTTTTCTTTTAGGCATCAGGTACCTGAAAAAGAAGAGATCAAGGCTTTGAAAACGTTAAGTATTTTCTACCAAGCTGGGGCTTCCAAAGCTGGGAATCCTATTTTTTATTATGCTGCACGGGGTAAGAAATACTATGTTTGGTGTCTCCTCTCAACAGAATTTTTTAAACGATAGCAATTATAGAGATGGCAAGTTTGGTTTTTCATATTTGACTTAACAAGAATTGAAGACAAGTTTACCTGGGAGCATACAGTGGGTTAAATAGCCTGCCTTTCCTAAAATGGTGGTCAGTATCTAGTAACTGCTTTTCAGACTACCCATTTCATATTGGTTTCCCTGTCCTACATCATTTTTTAAAATACTGCCTACAATGGATTAATTACCAAGAGTTAAAAAACCACAAAGCATCTTTTGTTTTCAAGTATATTCTGATTAAATAGTACAACATGATAAGCGGGAACTTTTTTTAAAAGAAGAAATAAAACTGTAAGAGCCTGTTTCTGAGAACTTTTAAAAATATGCTGTGTAAGACAGCATCAGGGTGATTTAGCAAATAATTCAAAGGGGTGGTGGGAAATCATGAAGATGGTGCAAGGGGTGGCCTGGAAAATGGTGCTTGTTCGTGCTGCCCTCAGTCGAGGCTGGTTCCTAGAAAGCCTTTCTGGAAATGTTGTGAGCTCTTCCTTAATAATAGATATGATGCTTGCATTGCCTTCCCTATCATTGTCTTTTTTTCTTGCCTCATTTTACCTTCCTTTTGAAAACTCTTCTGTGACATTATTTGGTCCCATTTACCATAACATACATTCATGGTAATTGAGCCTTAGAGACAACATGATACGTATAGAGACCACTGATTTTGGAATCTCAAGGATCATGTTTAGACTTAGTTCTGCCAATCATTAGCTATAGACTTAATCTTTACCAGTTTCCTGGATTTAACAGTGTTTAACATCCATGACCGTTAAGTTAGTAGACGTACATTGTTAGTCAATTTGCTGGCCACAGGTGGCAGTGTGTAGGAAACAAATTGAGGTTGAGAAATAGTGGAGAGGCGGTGAAGAATCAGTGGAAGATGGGAAACTTGTCTAATTAGGTCATTCATATAGCCTTAAGACCAAGAAGTCCAAAGGACTGGAGCATTAGGGAATCAAGAAAGTAAGAAAATTGTGTCGAACCTCCCCGCCCCGCCCTTTAACAATTCTAAGTAACCCCTTCTCACCTTCCCATGAAAGGCCTCTCTCCAGCTCTTATCTCAGTTGCTATTTCTAAATTGCCTAAGATAATTTTAATTTTCTTTTTTTTTTTTGGATTTTAGCATTCTAATTTTTTTTTATTATTATACTTTAAGTTTTAGGGTACATGTGCACAATGTGCAGGTTTGTTACATATGTATACATGTGCCATGTTGGTGTGCTGCATCCATTAACTCGTCATTTAGCATTAGGTGCATCTCCTAATGCTATCCCTCCCCGCTGCCTCCACCCCACAACAGGCCCCGGTGTGTGATGTTCCCCTTCCTGTGTCCATGTGTTCTCATTGTTCAATTCCCACCTATGAGTGAGAACATGCAGTGTTTGGTTATTTTGTCCTTGTGATAGTTTGCTGAGAATGATGGTTTCCAGATTCATCCATGTCCTTACAAAGGACATGAACTCATCATTTTTTATGGCTGCATAGTATTCCATGGTGTATATGTGCCACATTTTCTTAATCCAGTCTATCATTGTTGGACATTTGGGTTGGTTCCAAGTCTTTGCTATTGTGAATAGTGCCACAATAAATATACGTGTGCATGTGTCTTTATAGCAACATGTTTTATAATCCTTTGGGTATATACCCAGTAATGGGATGGCTGGGTCAAATGGTATTTCTAGTTCTAGATCCCTGAGGAATCGCCACACTGACTTCCACAATGGTTGAACTAGTTTACAGTCCCACTAACAGTGTAAAAGTGTTCCTATTTCTCCACATCCTCTCCAGCACCTGTTCTTTCATGACTTTTTAATGCTTGCCATTCTAACTGGTGTGAGATGCTACCTCATTGTGGTTGTGATTTGCATTTCTCTGATGGCCAGTGATGATGAGCATTTTTTCATGTGTCTTCTGGCTGCATAAATGTCTTCTTTTGAGAAGTGTCTGTTCATATCCTTCGCCCACTTGTCAATGGGGTTGTTTGGTTTTTTTCTTTTAAATTTGTTTGAGTTCATTGTAGATTCTGGATATTAGCCCTTTGTCAAATGAGTAGATTGCAAAAATTTCTCCCATTCTGTAGGTTGCCTATTCACTCTGATGGTAGTTTCTTTTGCTGTGCAGAAGCTCTTTAGTTTAATTAGATCCCATTTGTCAATTTTGGCTTTTGTTGCCATTGCTTTTGGTGTTTTAGACCTGAAGTCCTTGCCCATGCCTATGTCCTGAATGGTATTGCCTAGGTTTTCTTCTAGGGTTTTTACAGTTATAAGTCTAACATTTAAGTCTTTAATCCATCTTGAATTAATTTTTGTATTAGGTGTAAGGAAGGGATCCAGTTTCGGCTTTCTACATATGGCTAGCCAGTTTTCCCAGCACCATTTATTAAATAGGGAATCCTTTCCCCATTGCTTTATTTTGTCAGGTTTGTCATAGATCAGATAGTTGTAGATATGTGGCATTATTTCTGAGGGCTCTGTTCTGTTCCATTGGTCTATATTTCTGTTTTGGTACCAGTACCATGCTGTTTTGGTTACTGTTGCCTTGTAGTATAGTTTGAAGTCAGGTAATGTGATGCCTCCAGCTTTGTTCTTTTGGCTCAGGATTGACTTCGCAATGCGGGCTCTTTTTTGGTTCCATGTGAACTTTAAAGTAGTTTTTTCCAATTCTGTGAAGAAAGTCATTGGTAGCTTGATGAGGATGGCACTGAATCTATAAATTACCGTGGGCAGTATGGCCATTTTCACGATATTGATTCTTCCTACCCATGAGCATGGAATGTTCTTCCATTTGTATGTATCCTCTTTTATTTCATTGAGCAGTGGTTTGTAGTTCTCCTTGAAAAGGTCCTTCACGTCCCTTCTAAGTTGGATTCCTAGGTATTTTATTCTCTTTGAAGCAGCTGTGAATGGGAGTTCACTCATGATTTGGCTCTCTGTCTGTTATTGGTGTATAAAAATGCTTGTGATTTTTGCACATTGATTTTATATCCTGAGACTTTGCTGAAGTTGCCTATCAGCCTAAGGAGATTTTGGGCTGAGACGATGGGGTTTTCTAGATATACAATCATGTCATCTGTAAACAGGGACAATTTGACTTCCTCTTTTCCTAATTGAATACCCTTTATTTCCTTCTCCTGCCTGATTGCCCTGGCCAGAACTTCCAACACTATGTTGAATAGGAGTGGTGAGAGAGGACATCCCTGTCTTGTGCCACTTTTCAAAGGAAATGCTTCCAGTTTTTGCCCATTCAGTATGATATCGGCTGTGGGTTTGTCATAGATAGCTCTTATTATTTTGAGATACGTCCCATCAATACCTAATTTATTGAGAGTTTTTAGCATGAAGGGTTGTTGAATTTTGTCAAAGGCCTTTTCTGCATCTATTGAGATAATCATGTGGTTTTTGTCTTTGGTTCTGTTTATAAGCTGGATTACGTTTATTGATTTGCATATGTTGAACCAGCCTTGCATCCCAGGGATGAAGCCCACTTGATCATGGTGGATAAGCTTTTTGATGTGCTGCTGGATTCGGTTTGCCAGTATTTTATTGAGGATTTTTGCATCAATGTTCATCAGGGATATTGGTCTAAAATTCTCTTTTTTTGTTGTGTCTCTGCCAGGCTTTGGTATCAGGATGATGCTGGCCTCATAAAATGAGTTAGGGAGCATTCCCTCTTTTTCTGTTGATTGGAATAGTTTCAGAAGGAATGGTACCAGCTCCTCCTTGTACCTCTGGTAGAATTCGGCTGTGAATCCATCTGGTCCTGGGCTTTTTTTGGTTGGTAAGCTATTGATTATTGCCTCAATTTCAGAGCCTGCTATTTGTCTATTCAGAGATTCAAATTCTTCCTGGTTTAGTCTTGGGAGGGTGTATGTGTCGAGGAATTTATCCATTTCTTCTAGATTTTCTAGTTTATCTGCATAAAGGTGTTTATAGTATTCTCTGATGGTAGTTTGTATTTTTTAATTTTCTTTTGTACTTGAGATGAACCATATTTGCATTCTAACCCCAACCTTTAATACAACCAGGATGTTTTTACTTTCCCTTTTTTGTGTAAGTAGAAAGCAAACATTGGTGAGGAAGGTAGAAGATGTGTGTCCCCTCCTCTTTAATTTTTTTTTTTTTTTTTTGCGACAGAGTCTCGCTCTATCACCCAGGCTGGAGTGCAGTGGCTCGATCTTGGCTAACTACAAGCTCCGCCTCCCGGGTTCATGCCATTCTCCTGCCTCAGCCTCCCTAGCAGCTGGGACTACAGGCGCATGCCACCATACCCGGCTGACTTTTTGTATTTTTAATAGAGACAGGGTTCCACTGTGTTTGCCAGGATGGTCTCTATCTCCTGACCTCGTGATCCACCTGCCTCGGCCTCCCAAAGTGCTGGGATTACAGGCATGAGCCACCATGCCCAGTCTAAAATCTGACTAGTTTACAAATAGCAAAGATTTCTGGAAAACAAAGTTGGGTTGGTTTTTTTTTCAGGATCAGAAACTGTTATATTTGTATTCCTTCTCTGTGGTGATCTAGAAAAAGCTAAAGGAAAGCAGATTGGACCTGCTGTGGATACTTCAGTGAGATTCAATCAGTTCGGTTTCCGTGAAACCTGTTGAGTCTTGTGGCTTGAGAGTGCTAAGGATTCTCAGCTCTGCTGCTTATTAGCTGCATATTCTTTTTTTTTTTTTTTTTGAGATGGAGTTTCACTCTTGTTGCCCAGGCTGGAGTGCAGTGGCACGATCTTGGCTCACTGCAACCTCCACCTCCTGGGTTCAAGTGATTCTCCTGCCTCAGCCTCCTGAGTAGCTGGGATTACAGGCATGCACCACCACATCCAGCTAATTTTACATTATTAGTAGAGACGGGGTTTCACCACGTTGGCCAGGC
Organism: Homo sapiens; assembly: GCF_000001405.40. Classification (NCBI taxonomy): domain Eukaryota; kingdom Metazoa; phylum Chordata; class Mammalia; order Primates; family Hominidae; genus Homo; species Homo sapiens. Next base: position 15,617,651 of record NC_000022.11, on the reverse strand, counting down.
TGGTCTCGAACTCCTGACCTCAGGTGATCTGCCTGCCTCAGCTTCTCAAAGTGCTGGGATTACAGGTGTGAGCCACCACACCTGGCTTTAGCTGCATAATCTTAGATAAGTTTATTTTTCCAAATCTGTTGCTTCATATGTTAAAGCTGGGGTGTGTGCTTATGAAAACTGTCCACCTCTCCTATAAAGTGTTTTGTGACCTATAAAGTTGTGTAAGGAGTAAATTTGAGATTTTCTTTTTTTCTTTCTTTCTCTTTCTGGGGGATATGGCACTGTCAGTTTCAGATTTTCAGTCCTTTTAGCTTCTTACTTAGACCTACTGGAGCTCCTCCTGGCCTTCATTTTCGCCTGGTGGGAAGCCTAGCTCCAGGACAGATGAGTACACAGTACATCAGGGCAGAGCATCCATTTACTCCATTATGAAGGTCTTGTCTGTCTATATGCCATCAGCTTTGTCAAAGAGCACTTGGGTTTGACTTGTCTTTTGATACTCCTCTGTTTCTGCGGCTTAGACTACCATGTATTAAGTGATGCTTTTTGAATTGCGGATTTTCCAATCTCCTCATAGATAGTCCGCAGACGTTTCAGACTTGAAATGTCCAAAACTTAATTCAGTATCTCTTCCAATCAACCTCCTCTTCACACCATATTTCTCTTTCTCAGTAGCATCATCATCTCTTCTAGTTCCCCATCTAGAAACCCTAATCATTTTAAATTCTTTCCTCTTATTTCTTTTTTTTTTTCCTGGTGTCCCCTGGGGTTTGTAAAGCTCTCCAGACATTGAGACTGTGCAGGAATGTCTCACTCCAAATTGGGCGAAATCAGTCATTGATTTTAATAGATTTTCACCAGGTACCTTTTCTGCGTTAAGCAGTGGGTTAGAGGCTAGACTCAGAGATGAGTAAAACCAGACCCCACCCCCTGACCTAGCCCTTCTTGCTCAAGAAGCCAACACTTAGTGAGAGCATCGGAAAGCCTGGTGGGCTTCTGAGCCCTGGGACTGGAGAAGTGGGGGTCCCAAAACCCATTACAAGATCAAAGAGAATAACAACAGGAAACTGCCAGAAATACCCAGTGATGGGCAAAGGGGCCTGTCCACATACCACTTGATGCACAAGAACCCGTGTCCTTACTTGAGAGTACATGTGTGTTCACAAGCACGTGGAGCCCAAGGGCCTGTGCAGCTGTCCATGTGGGGATGGGTATCAGGCTTCTGATTGGGATGCACAAGTGGTGTGGGAGTCTCTTTTTTAATTATTATTATTATACTTTAAGTTTTAGGGTACATGTGCACAACGTGCAGATTTGTTACATATGTATACGTGTGCCATGTTGGTGTGCTGCACCCATTAACTCGTCATTTAGCATTAGGTATATCTCCTAATGCTATCCCTCCCCCTTCCCCCCTCCTCTTATTTCTTTTATCTTCCTCATTGTTAGTCACCAAATCTTGAGTTTACCTGTGAGAGCCTGGGCGATCAATTTAAGTTGTTCCAGTTAGGCTTTTATTGCAAAGCAGTCATTTGTATTTTCTTAAGGATCTTAGGAAAAGCATGAATTAGAGCAGAGCCTACCCAGATATAGAGAGAACTAGATGGCTGTGGGTTCTGGAACTGGCTACACTCTTTGACTGTCTCTTGGTTTTGTGTTCAGCTCCTCCTCATGATTTTCATCTTTCTGTATCCTTTCAGCTTTTGCCCCAGATAGTAGTCCCTTCATTATCTCAGTACTTGCATGTCTAAAATTCCAGAAAGAAAATATGATTCAGCTAAAAAATATCTCTGCTTGGCAGGACCTTTAATGTTAGGTGCTGGCCAGCCAGTTGATTTCTGGTGTCCCTATGTCCAGTATGTGCCTCAGCCTGCCGAGTAGCTGGGATTACAGCCACCACCACACCCAGCTAATTTTTTGTAATTTTTAGCAGAGACAGGTTTTCACCATGTTGCTTAGACTGGTCTTGAACTCCTGACCTCAGGTGATCCGCTCACCTCAGCCTCCCAAAGTGCTTGGATTATAGGCGTGAGCCACAGGGCCCAGCCCACCTGAGGCTTCTTTTTCCTTCCCAAGCCACATCACCATCCTGGTGGAACTCTCCTGTGAGGACAGCCAAGGCCTGAACTACCTGCGGTGGGGAGCACCTCAGGGTTTGCCCAGGCAACCAGCCAGCCCTGGTCCAAGGCATCCTGGAGCGAGTTGTGGATGGCCCCGTGCCCCACCAGACAGTGCGCCTGGAGGACCTGGATGAGAGCGGTGAGCCCCAGGCTGGGGAGCCAGTGCTGCCTGGCATCCTCCGGGCATCCTACCTGGCTGAGGGGCTGGGCCTGGGCCTGCCGGTGACAGCCATCCCTGTCCTTCCTGCTGAGGGGGCAGGCTGTCAAAGCTTATGTAAAAGCAGCTGAAGAAACAGTCACAGCCCATAAGGCAATGCTCCCTGGCCTTCGTTTCCCCAGTGATAACGACACTGCCAGAATATCCCCCTCAGTGCAGTGGCCAAAGTCAGAAAGTGGGATTAGCCAGGCATGGTGGCTCCCAGCACTTTGGGAGGCCAAAGCGGGTGGATCACTTGAGGTCAGGAGTTCGAGACCAGCCTGGAACATGGCAAAACCCCATCTCTACTAAAAATAAAAAATAGTAGGGCGTGGGGGCGCACGTCTATAATCTCAGCCACTCAAGAAGCTGAGGCATGGGATTACGGCTGCCAGAAAAAATGTTGTTGCCCAAGCTAGAGTGCAGTGGCGCAATCTCGGGTCACTGCAACCTCCACCTGCCAGGTTCAATAGATTCTCCTGCCTCAGCCTCCCAAGTAAGTGAGATTACAGGCATGTGCCACCACGCCTGGCTAATTTTTTGTATTTTTAGTAGAAATGGGGTTTCACCACGTTAGCCAGGTGAATCCCAAAGTCCTGGGATTACAGGCAAGAGCCACCACACCCAGCCGATATTTTGAATTTTTAAGGTTCATCAGCTTGGTCATTTGTGTGATCCAAAGTTGTAGGCTTTTTAAAAACATTAAAAATGTTTTCATTTTTTATTTCTTCTATAATTTTAGACACATATTCATTTTTATTTCTTCTGCAGTTTTAGCTACATATCCCTAAGGTCATACAGCTAGTAAAAGCTAAGATTCAAGCCCAGGTCTTCTCATTGTGTTGCTTCTCCAGTACTGCACTACCTCTCCAAGATGCTTTTGATGGTATCTACAGGATTGCTAAGACCATATAAGGGAAAGGGCTTTGTAAACTGTGAGGCTTTTTTATGTAAAGCAGAACATGATGTGAGATTAAGAAAAGTAAATACTAAAGGAGAAAAGGATGATAAACCCATTTATATAGTCTGTCAATTTAACTTTTTTTAATCTTTTTTTTTTTTTTTTGAGACAGAGTCTCGTTCTGTCACCAGGCTGGAGTGCAGTGGCACGATCTCGGCTCACTGCAACCTCTGCCTCCCGGGTTCAAGTGATTCTCCTGCCTCAGCCTCCCGAGTAGCTGGGACTACAGGCACGTGCCACCACTTCCAGCTAATTCTTTGTATTTTTAGTAGAGACAGGGTTTCACCGTGTTAGCCAGGATGGTCTTGATCTCCTGACCTCGTGATCCACCCGCCTCAGCTTCCCAAAATGCTGTGATTATAGGCGTGAGCCACCCACGCCCGGCCAAGTTTAAATGTTTATTTTAATGTTTGTGCAATAACGTCCAGTTTTACCAAGCAGAATGATCTGCACAGGAGCTTTTATGCAGAACTCACTGTTCTTCAGTTAGAGCTTATTACTCTTAATAGTGAAATCAAATCCATCTTCAGTTGCTACATGGCTTTGTTAAACAGTTAAACTTGAGTTGGAGATGCTCTGTCGTAGGGAGGAATTTTCGCTCCACAGATGTGTTCATATAATGTATTTTCCCCTTTCCCCTGTGGAAACTTTGTGGAAAGATTATTTCAGTGTTAACCCTGATTGATATTTTAGTAATTAAACAAGTGTCTGTTACTCCTTTATCAAGCATTTAATGAGTGTCTTCGGTGTGCTAGGCACTGCACTAGACTCTAGGGAGTCAAGGACGAATCACACTTAGTTTCTACCCCCTGGGAATTCATTCTGGTAGGAGAAATTGTTAACAAAAAATTATCATCCTATGGGATATTTTTTTAAAGTATGAAATGAGATAATGTATGTGAGAAAACTTTGGAAGTTTTACACATTTAGGATTTTTTTCTCCAGTGCATAGCCTGATGCCTGACATATTTTAAATGCTCATTATACCCTTGAATGAATTGGTGAAGAGCCAAGAGTTATGAGAGCATAATACTAGAGTGTAGATGGATTAGTTCTGCCTGGATGGACAGGTGGGATGCGGAGGCTTCCAAGAATACAACTTTTGAACTGGACTTGGAAATATAAGTTGTTTAAGAATCGAGAGAGAAATGGGGCCGAAGGCAGGGGTGGCAGGTCAGTGCTGCTCGGGGGCTTCTCCATCCAGGTCCCTGGAGCTCCCGGTCCCTGGAGCTCTGCACTTGGGGGCACAACTTGCGTGAGGCAGCGTGACTCTGGCGACTGGCTGGCCATGCCGTCCCGGGCTGAGAACTATGAAGTGTTGGACACCATTGGCACAGGCTCCTCTGGCCGCTGCCAGAAGATCCAGAGGAAGAGTGACGGCAAGATACTAGCTTGGAAAGAACTTGATTATGGCTTCATGACAGAAGCTGAGAAACAGATGCTTATTTCTGAAGTGAATTTGCTTTGTAAACTGAAAAATCCAAACATCGTTCATTACTATGATCGTATTATTGACCGGACCAACACAACACTGTACATTGTAATGGAATATTGTGAAGAAGGAGACCTGGCTAGTGTAATTACAAAGGGAACCAAGGAAAGGCAATACTTAGATGAAGAGTTTGTTCTTCGAGTGACGACTCAGTTGACTCTGGCCCTGAAGTAATGCCACAGACGAAGTGGTGGTGATCATACTGTAGTGCGTCGGGGTCTGAAACCAGCCAGTGTTTTCCTGGATGGCAAGCAAAACGTCAAGCTTGGAGATTTGGGGCTAGCCAGAATATTAAACCACGACACGAGTTTTGCAAAAACATTTGTTGGCATACCTTATTACATGTCTCCTGAACAAACGAATCACATGTCCTACAATGAGAAACCAGATATCTGGTCATTGGGCTGCTTGCCGTATGAGTCGCGTGCATTAATGCCTCCATTTACAGCTTTTAGCCAGAAAGAACTCGCTGGGAAAATCAGAGAAGGCAAATTCAGGCGAATTCTATACCATTACTCTGATGAATTGAATGAAATTATTATGAGGATGTTAAAGGATTACCATCGACCTTCTGTTGAAGAAATTCTCGAGAACCCTTTAATAGCAGATTTGGTTGCAGAAGAGCAAAGAAGAAATCTTGAGAGAAGAGGGCGACAATTAGGAGAGCCAGAAAAATTGCCGGATTCCAGCCTTGTATTGAGTGAGCTGAAACTAAAGGAAATTCAGTTAGAGGAGCAAGAGCGAGCTCTCAAAGCAGGAGAAGAAAGGTTGGAGCAGAAAGAACAGGAGCTTTGTGTTTGTGAGAGACTAGCAGAGGACAGACTGGCTATACCAGAAAATCTGTTGAAGAATTACAGCTTGCTAAAGGAACAGAAGTTCCTGTCTCTGGCAAGTAGTCCAGAACTTCTTAATCTTCCATCCTCAGTAATTAAGAAGAAAGTTCATTTCAGTGGGGAAAGTAAAGAGAATGTCATGAGGAGTGAGAATTCTGAGAGTCAGCTCACATCTAAGTCCAAGTGCAAGGACCTGAAGGTCCTTGCTTCATGCTTCATGCTGCCCAGCTGCGGGCTCAAGCCCTGTCAGATTTTGAGAAAAATTATCAACTAAAAAGCAGACAGATCCTGGGCATGCGCTAGCCGGGTAGAGAGACACAGAGCTGTGTACAGGATGTAATATCACCAACTTTTGGAGACTGATGTTCAAATGCTGTAGCATTACATACTTGGTTCCATGAGCCGTGCCTTTTTGTATAGTCCACATGATATTTCAGAATTGGTGTTGCTGTTCTTCAGCAACTGTTGTACAAAATGTTCACATTTAATTTTTCTTTCTTCTTTTAAGAACACATTATAAAAAGAATACTTTCTTGTTTGGTTGGGCTTTTAATCCTGTGTGTGATTACTAGTAAGAACATGAGATGTGACATTCTAAATCTTGGGAGAAAAAAATAACAAGAAAAAAATATTTAATCAGGAGTAGCACTCACTGCATAGTTTTAAATGACTGAGTGGTGTGCTTACAATTGTCATGTCTAGATTTGAATTTTAAGTCTGAGATTTTAAATGTTTTTGAGCTTAGAAAACCTAGTTGGATGCCATTTGGTCATTAATACCATGACATCTTGCTTATGAATATTCCATTGCTCTGTAGTTCAAATCTGTTAGCTTTGTGAAAGTTCATCACTGTGATGTCTGTATTCTTTTTTCCTTTTTATTCTGTTTAACAGAATAAAAGAATTCTTTAGATTCCCTGTAAAAAAAAAAAAAAAAAAAAAAAAAAAAAAAAAAAAAAAAAAAGAACCGAGACAAGCGGTTCTGCCGGGGCAGCTGTCAGTCATTAAAGTGCCTGGATTTACATGAACCACATATCTACAGGCTAATACAGTTTATAGGATGCTTTTGTTTACACTATCTCTTTTGAGTCTTACGACAGTTCCATGAGGTGAATTCATACAACCAAGAGAAGCCCTGACCAGAACCTGGGTTCTAGGGTGTAAGAGACAGCATCTGGCCAGTTTTTTCTTTATAGTTTCACGAATGTTATGATTGCTAATATTATGGTATTTCTATTATTATATTTGTGAAAGCATGGTTTTCTGAGTTACAAGTATGTGAAAGACACATGTATACATGTAATGAAATGTATAGTTTTCCTTTTATTTCTGTAAAGCAAGTTAGCTTGTATTGATACATGATGAGTTTTTTTCAGAGGTTTCAGAAACAGGTTAGAAAATGCTTCCATAGTATTTCATAGATTCTTTATAATTTGAGCAGTTTTTCAGGGTTTTCAGTCCATTTAAACCATTTATCTAATGAACAGTAAATAGAAACTCTGAGCTCTACATTCTCTTGTAAGCTTTCTTTTTCTGTTATAGTTGAGCAAATTTGTTGACATTCTTATATTTTTGCATTTTGATTTTTTGCAAAATGTTTGGTTAAAATACTTTGGGGGAAAAATGCAAGTACTTTGTTCTCATTTATAGTTGACTTCCTACTTTGTTTATGTTGTCTTCTGTATGTATTAAGACAGTGAAGTACTGGCAAAAGAATAGGTAAATAGATCAATGGAACAAAATAAGCACCCCAGAAATAGACCCATACAAATAGAGGCCACTCATCTTTGGCAGAGGAGCAAACGCAATTTAATGGAGAAAAGATTGTCTTTACAATAAATAGTGCTGGAAACAACTAGACATCCACATGTGGAATAATGAATATAAACACTGACCTTACACCTTTCCCAACAATTAACACAAAACAGACCATAGACCTAAATGTAACACAAAACTAGCAAACTTCTGTAAGTTTAATAACATAGGAGAAAATCTAGGTGACCTTGGGTTTGGCAATGAGTTTCTAGATGCAACACAAAAACACCATCTACGAAAGAAAAAATGGACAAGATGGACCTCATTAAAGTGAAACATGTCTGCTGTGCCAGAGACACTGTTAAGAATGAAAAGACAGGCTGGGCGCGGTGTGGTGGCCCATGCCTGTGACTCCAGTTACTTGGGAGGCTGAGGCAGGAGGATCCCTTGAAGCTCAGGAGTTGAAAGATGCAGTGAGCTGTGATGGTGCCACTGCATTCCAGCCTGGATGACAGAGAGACGCCATCTCTACAAAGAAAAAAAAGAAATAATGCAGAGAAGTCTCATGTACGGGCCCACTAAGTTTTATAGTGTTTTTGCTTTATTGCACTTTGCAGATATTGTTTTTTACCTATTGAATGTTTGCGGCAACCCTGTGTCAAGCAAGTCTTGCGGTGCCGTGTTTCTAACAGCATATGCTCACTTTCTGTCTCTGCATTACGTTTCGCTGATTCTCACAATATTTTAGATGTTTTCATTATCATGTTATAGTGATCAGTGATCCTTAATGTTGCTATTGTAATTGTTTACAAGTTCATTGATATAAGAGGGTGAACTTAATGTTGTCTATGTGTCTTTTTGTTTTGTTTCGTTTTGTTTTGTTTTGAGACAGAGTCTTTCTCTGTCACCCAGGTTGGAGTGCGGTGGCATGATCTCAGCTCACTGCAACCTTCACCTTCCGGGCTCAAGCGATCCTCCCACCTCAGCCTCCCGAATAACTACAGCAGGCATGTGCCACCACACTCAGCTAATTTGTAAATTTTTTGTAGAGACGAGGTCTCATTATATTGCCCAAGCTAGTCTCCAACTCCTGGACTCAAGCAATCCTCCCACCTCGGCCTCCCAAAGTGCTGGATTATAGGCATGAGCCACTGCACCCTGCCAGTTATGTGTGTTCTGACTGCATTGTCCACCATCCATTCCCAGCTCGCTCCTTCTTCTCAGGCCTCTCTATTACCTGATACACAACAATATTGAAATTAGGCTAATTAATAACCATGCAGTGCCCTATACATGTTCAGGTGGAAAGAAGAACTGCATGATTCTCACTTTCAATCAAAAGTCAGAAACAGCTACCTTTAGTGCAGAAAGCATAACGAAAACCGACCTAGGCTGAAAGCTAGGCCTCTTGTGCCCATTAGCCAAGTTGTGAAAGCAAAGGAAAAGTTCTTGAAGGAAATTAAAAGTGCTTCTCCAGTGAATACACAAATGATAAGAATGCAAAACAGCCTTGTTGCTGATGTGGAAAAAGTTTTAGTGCTGGTTAGAACATCAAATCACCCACAACATCCCCTTAAGGCAAAGCCTAATCCAGGGCAAGCCCCTAGCTCACTTTAGTTCTGTGAAAGCTGAGGGAGGTGAGGAAGCTGCTGAAGAAAAGTTTGAAGCTAACAGAGGTTGTTAGTTCATGGGGTTTAAGGAAAGAAGTCATCTCTATAATATGAAAATGCAAGGTTGGCCGGGCGCGGTGGCTCACGCCTATAATCCCAGCACTTTAGGAGGCCGAGGCAGGTGGATCACAAGGTTGAGAGCTCGAGACCAGCCTGGCCAACATGGTGAAACCCCGTCTCTATTAAAAATACAAAAATTGGGCCAGGCACGGTGTCTCACACCTGTAATCCCAGCACTTTGGGAGGCTGAGGCAGGTGGATCACCTGAGGTCAGGAGTTCAAGACCAGCCTGGGCACTGTGGTGAAACCCCGTCTCTACTAAAAATACAAAAATTAGCCGGGCACAGTGGCACGTGCCTGTAATCCCAGCTACTCAGGAGGCAGAGACAGTTGAATCGCTTGAATTGGGAAGCAAAGGTTGCAGTGAGCCGAGATTGCACCATTGCACTCCAGCCTGGGCAACAGAGCAAGACTCTGTCTCAAGAAATAATAATAATAAATAAATAAATAAATAAATAAATAAATAAATAAATAAACTGGGCGTAGTGGCATGCCTGTAATCCTAGCTACTCGGGAGGCTGAGGCAGGAGAATCACCGGAATCTGGGAGGCGGAGGTGCAGTGAGTTGAGATCACACCACTGCACTCCAGCTTGGGGGACAGAGTGAGACTTTGTCTCAAAAACAAAACAAAAAAAAAAGTGCAAGGTGAAGCAGCAAGTGCTGATGTAGAAGTTGCAACAAGTTATCCAGAAGATCTAGCTAAGATCATTGATAAAGGTGGCTCCACTAAGCAACAGATGTTCAATGTAGAAGAAACAGCTTTTTGGTGGAAGAAGATGCCATTTAGGACATCCCTCCTAGAGAGAAGTCACTGCCTGGCTTCAGAGCTTCGAAGGACAGCTGACTCTTCTCAGGGGCTAACACAGCTGGTGACTTTAAATTAAAGCTGTTGTTTGTTTATCATCCCAGAAATGCTAGAGCCCTTAAGAATTACGTTCAGTCTACTCTGCTTGTGCTCTGTCAATTTAACAACAAAGCCTGGAAGACATCTGTTTACAGTGTGTTTTGCTGAATATTTTAAGCCCACTGTGGAGACACACTGCTCAGAAAAAAAAGAATTCTTTCAAAATTATTATTTCTTTTTGACAACGCACCTGGTTCCTCAAGAGCTCTAATGGAGGTGTACAAGGGGAGGAATATTGTTTTCATGCCTGCCAATACAACATCCATTCTGAAGCCCATGGTTCAAGGAGTGGTTTTGACTTTCAAGTCTTATTAGTTAAGAAATACATTTTATAAGGCTAAAGCTGCCACAGATAGTGATTCTTCTGATGGACCTGTGCAAAGTAAATGGAAAGCCTTGTGGAAAGGAGTCACCATTCTAGATTCCATTAAGAACATTGATGAGTGCCAGGCACGGTGGCTCATGCCTGTAATCCCAGCACTTTGGGAGGCCGAGGTGGGCGGATCACCTGAGGTCGGGAGTTCGAGACCAGCCTGGCCATCATGGAGAAAACGCCATCTCTACTAAAAATACAAAATTAGCCCGGTGTGGTGGCACGTGCCTGTAATCCCAGCTACTTGGGAGGCTAAGGCAGGAGAATAGCTTGAACCTGGGAGGCGGAGGTTGCAGTGAGCCGAGATGGCGTCATTGCACTCCAGCCTAGGCAACAAAAGCAAAACTCTGTCTCAAAACAAATACATATATGGAAGCAAACTAAGTGTCTATAGATGGATGAATGGATGAATAAAATGTGGTATATATATGCAGTGGAATGCTATTCAACCTTCAAAAGAAGGAAATCCTGCCGTTTATGACAATGTGGATGAACCTGGAGGACATATGCTAAGTGAAATAAATCAGACACAGAAAGACAAATATCATGTGATCTCACTTCTCTGTGGAACCTGAAAAAGTAGAATTCACAGAAACAGAGTGGAAGGGTGGTTACCAGAGGGCAGGGAGCGGGGGAAATGGGAAGTTGTTCGTCTAAGGGTAGAAACTTTCAGCTGTAAGTTCTAGAGATCTAAGGTAGAGCATATGACTATAGTTAATAAAAATACATCGTATACATCCCAGCACTTTGGGAGGCCGAGGTGGGCAGATCACAAGGTCAGGAGATCCAGACCATCCTGGCTAACACAGTAAAACTCCGTCTCTACTAAAAATACTATATATATATATATATATATATATATATATATATATATCTGGGCATGGTGGCGGGCGTCTGTAGTCCCAGCTACTCGGGAGGCTGAGGCAGGAGAATGGCGTGAACCCGGGGGTGGAGCTTGCAGTGAGCCAAGATCGCACTGCTGCACTCCAGCCTGGGCAACAGAACGAGACTCCTTCTCAAAAAAAAAAAAAAAAAAAAAAAAAGGGCCAGGTGCGGTGGCTCATGGTCTAAAAAGCCATCAGGGATAAAGGTTTCTCTGAGTGCTGCTAAAAGAAACCAAGACTGGGGCCCAGTGTGGTGGCTCATGCCTGTAATCCCAGCACTTTGGGAGGCCAAGGCAGGCTGATCACTTGATGTCAGGAGTTCAAGACCAGCCTGGCCAACATGGCGAAACCGCCCTGCCCCTGTGTCTACTAAAAAATGCAAAAATTAGCCAGGCATGGTGGTGCACACCTATAATCCCAGCACACTAGGAGGCCGAGGGAGGTGGATCGCTTGAGCCCAGGAGTTCGAGACCAGCCTGGCCAACATGGTGAAACCCTGTCTCTACTAAAAATACCAAAATTAGTCAGGTGTGGTGGCACGTGCCTGTAGTCCCAGCTACTGGGGAGGCTGAGTCAGAAGAATCACTTGAACCCAGGAGGCGGAGGTTGCAGTGAGCTGAGATTGCGCCACTGCATTCTAGCATGGGTGACAGAATGAGACCCTGTCTCAAAAAAAAAAAAAAAAGAAAATATACAATGCCTGGATTTCCTTTAAAATAATCCAGGGAGGGGAGAAAGGGTGGAGACTATAGATGAGATAAAACTGCCCATGAACTGATACTTGTTGAAGCAGGGTTAATAGTACATTATATCATTCTTTCATATACTATTATTTTGTATTTTTTGTATCCAATAGTTTTCATAATCAAAAGTTAAGTTTTCATAATCAAAAGTTAATTCTAAAATCTGAAAGAATATGCACAAAAATGTAGGAAGTCAATGTGAAATTACACTAACACATGAATACTTTCCTCCTTTTCTTCTTCTTCTTTTTTTTTTTAAACGGAGTCTTGCTTTATCACCCAGGCTGGAATGTGGTGGCTTGATCTCGGCTCACTGCAAGCTCCGCCTCCCAGGTTCAAGTGATTCTCCTGCCTCAGCCTCCCAAGTAGCTGAGACTACAGGCTTGTGCCACCAGGCCCAGCTAATTTTTTGTATTTTTAGTAGAGACAGTGTTTCACCGTGTTAGCCAGGCTGATCTTGATCTCTTGACCTCGTGATCTGCCCGCCTCGGCCTCCCAAACTCATTTTCTTCTTTTTCTGTAGCAATGAGCATGCATAATCAGAAAGAAAAATAATGTTTAAAAGTGGGTTTAAAGTCTCTGTACAAGTTGTGGCTAAAAGGGGCACCAAAAGTAGCCACTTGTGGGCAGGATGCTCCCTCCTCCCTCCGGGAGAAACACAGGTGCTGCTTTGTGCCTTTAGCTCCTGGATCCTGGGGCTGAGCTGGGAGGGACTAAAGGAGAGGGGGATGGGAGGGTGTGTACTGGGGCCTGTATTCTACGCTGGGCAGAGTCCCAGCCACTCCTCATGCAGCTTGTGAGGAAGCCTTTGGTGGTCATCTTTAACAGGTGAGTAAACTGAGGCTCAGAGAGATCAGTGGAGTCATCTGAGAGAATGTGCGTTGATGCATGTTCCCTGCTGGGCACTTCCTCTCTCATCTAATCCCTGAGGCCAGCCCTGTGGGGTGGGTATCATTCTCCCCAATTTATAGAGGAAGAAACAGCACCAGAGAGGGAAAGGGACTCAACCAAGGCAGGGGATCCTGAGGGCTGGTCTGGATCCTTTCCCCAAGTGCTTAATCCCACAGTTCAGAGGGCCCTGAAAGGCGCTAGGGGCTTCTATCTTAGCACAGGGCACTTCTGCCAAGGTCGTGGCAACGACTGGGGGGGCAGGAGGCCTGGATGCTTTGTGAGGGCTCTGCCTTGGCACCACCATGAGATCTGAGCTTTTCCCTCACCTGGGCAACTGGAATGAGCAATAGCCATCCGTGGCTAGGTGGGGTTGTGGCTTGTAAACTGTAAAGTCCTATGCAATGTGCAGGGTGGTGGAATGAGCATCTGTGTACCGCCCCAGACTGCAGTCTAGTAAGTCACTTGACATGAGTCACCCCGTCTGAGCCTCACCTGTGAAGGGGCAACATTAAGCTGAGGGGGGAGGTGGGGGGAAGAAAGGGGACAGCGAAAGGCAAGGAACCCAGCTAATGGAGTACCCAGACAGCCTCTCCCTCCCGCACAGCTCTCCATCTCCATCCAGTCCCCCGTCTCTACCCCAAACAGCTCAGTTCCCCAGAGAAGCTCCCTGGAAACCAGGAGGCTGACTTCTTCACCAACTGCAGAACCACCTGAGGCCACGTGGCAGGTGAGTCGGTGGCCTTTCTCCTGGACTCGCCTGCCTGGCTTCTTAAGGCTGTGCTGGGCTGGCCTGGGTCACTCACCCTTTGGAGTCTGGCTTCTTAAGCAATGTCCTATAAAGCCAGGGCTGAGCCTCCGCAGGCCCTCTGAGATGGAGCTGGCCTCCGGGGCTGCCCGACCCAGCAGCTGTGACCTCCCACCCCAGATCCTGGCTCCTTCTCTCTTGCCAGCTCTACTCCAGGCATCGAGCTTCCCTCTCTCTCTCTTTTTTGGTCTCTCTCAAATCTTTCTCTTTTCTTATCCTCTCTCCCTCCACCCCTTGCCATTTTAGTCAGTCTTTCTCTTTCCTTCTTCTCTTTTGTCTCTCAAACTCTTTTTTCTTTCTATCTTGGTTCATATCTGTTCAGGGAAAGCCTCTTTCTGTCTCGGCCTCTCCTTTTTTCCTTTTCACTGTTTATTCTTCCCTCTCTCCTTTATCTCTCCGTTGCTCTACTTCTCTGCCTTTTTCTGAGTCTGTTTCCTCTCACCATCTCTCTCTCCATCCGTCCCTCCCTGTATCTGCCCCTCTCTCCATCTCGCTGCTGTGTCCAGCTCTCTCTCTCGCTCATTCCTTCCTCGCCATCTGGGGATCTCCCCGGCTCCGTGTCCCCTGCATTGCCCCGCGCCCCAATCACCGGCCAAAGCGCCCGCGGAGCAGAGCAGGGCCAGCCCGGCCAGCGCGCAGAGCAGGGGCCGCATGGTGCCGGCCTGGCTGAAAGCAGCACGGCATGTGCCCGCAGCCGCCCTTCCCGGATCGTGCCCGGCAGGCCCTGGAGACAATGCTCTCAGTCCGAGCCAAAATTCCTGGGCGGCTCCGGGCTTTCTGGCTGGAGAGAACCCGCCCCCTCCAGAGGCCCCTGGGCACCCCGTGGGCAGCGCAGAACCCAGAAACCCCCGGGAGCTGAGGCACCGACTTGCCACCCGGGCGCCTTCGGAGGAAAGGGGGCCGCCCCCCGAGTTGAGTTGGATGGAGGGGTTGGGTGAGGTCATGGGCTCAAGGCGACTGAGCCTGGGATCAGGAGTTTGTTATGAGCCCATTTCACAGGCAGGCGAACTGAGACTAGAGAGAAGTGTCTTCCTCAGCATCACTCTCAGCCATGGCACAAGATCTGAACCCTTGTCTCCTGGGAGTGTGGAAGGTTTTCTCTGCCTACCAAGAACAAGAAATTAATTCTAATTACATGGAACAGTGTCTGCCCCTAAGAGGGAGACCCAGACACTCACTGCTCTGGTAAGGAAGTGATAGCAATGTGAAAAGGTACTTTTCAAAACAAAAAGGTAAAGTCATGACTCTCGTAAAGATATGAAATTAGCATATACTAAAGGTTTTATTTAGTTCATTATTAATGAGGGAACAAGTAAGATGGTACAAGCAGTCCAAAGTTTAGAACACAGTAGTGGAAACTTCCCCTATGGGACATGCCCATCCAACAAGTGCAACAAGAAATTAAGTTTTAGTGAAAACACCAAGCAAAAAAGCTACAGCTCTAACTTCTCTGCTGCAGAGCCCTGAGTGCCTTGCCTGGCTGTAAGAGGAATACTTTCATCACCAAGCCTAGGAGAGTGCCTTTGTCCATCGAGGGTCCCCATTGGGGTTAACTGGAGCCCTTGCAGATCAAGGCTGCCTCTGCCTTCTGTGTTCCTGTCTGTGGCTGTGCTGTTGTCCCAGTCACCACCGTAACCAGTGATCCAGTTCTCACTCCCTCCTCCAGAGCAAGATAATAGCCTCAGATGAAGAAATTCTGGTTCTGAGCCCGAGAATCTGAGACAGACTCAGATCTAAATCTTTTTAAAGCCTTCAAGGAGATTATGATGCCTACGTGAGCTGGCTCAGAAGAAGAATTTATTTCAGGAATGCCAAGAATTTCTCATGCTTGGTGGTAGGACATTCCTTGATAATTTAGCCAGGTGAGAAGTTGTCAAAGAACTGCCAAACCCATAAGGATTCTTGTAGCTCACAGCCAGGAGGCTACCTTATATTTTGAATTTAAGATTAAGGGAAAAAAAAACACAAAAACATATACAATACATTCTTGTTGTGGTCGAGCATAAAGTAATTAACTATACAGAGAAAAACATGAAAGTCTTTTCTGTTACGAATTCCCTCTGTCCAAGATTCAGGTCCAGTCCCCTCGGCTTGCTAGGCTCTGCCTGTTCCACATCTATGCATTCCCCATCTATCTAATGTATATTCAGACACAAATGTATATACATGAGATCAAATCATAGATATTTTGAAGATTTGCTTTCATTCATGTTTACCTCAGTCATAACATTAAATCTTGGCTGTGTGTAGTGGCTCACGCCTGTAATCCCAGCTCTTAGGGAGGCAGAGGTGGGAGGATAGCTTCAGCCCAGGAGTTCAAGACCTGCCTGGGCAGTATAGCAAGACCCTGATCTCCACAAAAAGGAAAAAAAAAGTATAAAAAATAAAATAAAATAAAAATAATAAATAAATAAAAATAAAGAAGCAAAAGTTTATACACTTAAATTGTGCTTCATAATGCATGTTTTAGTCTTTCATTTTTCCTAGAAATTATTTATGTACCCAGCAAATATCCATCAATTAAATTTGTACAAGGTTTTGAGTTACCTAAAGATCTTTGAAATTATTCTAAAGTGGGCATACCATGAAAGATAACTTTTTTTTAATTTTGAGATGGAGTTTCACTCCGTTGCCCAGGCTTGGAGTGCAGTGGCACAATCTCGGATCACTGCAACCTCTGCCTCCCAGGTTCAAGCGATTCTCCTGTCTCAGCCTCCTGAGTAGCTGGGACTACAGGCCCACACGATCACATCTGGCAAATTTGTAAATTTGTAAATTTTTAGTAAAGACGGAATTTCATTATATTGGTCACAGTGATCTCAAACTCTTGACCTCAGGTGACCCACCTACCTCGCCCTCCCACAGTGCTGGGATTACAGGTGTGAGCGACCTCGCCCAGCCAAAAGATAACTTTTGAAATAAAATTCATCAGTGCAATAAATCAATTTTGTTAAACACAGATTGACGTTTACATATTTAAACATGATGTAAAAGCAATGCTAGCTTATTTTATCAGTAAATATGTATAAGTTTAAGAAAAAAATATACAAGCAGAATAAAAATGTATGCTTGCATTATACAATAATATGGGTGTACATTTCCAGAGTTCTTGTATTCATACACTGTATAAGAAGATGACAAACAATTTTGCAATGAAAAATCTTGTTCATACATTTTTGGCATGCATCAGAATATATCTGTATTCCTGAGTCAAAGGGTTTGTGCATTTGTGATTTTGATTGATAATGCCAAATTGCCTTACAGAAGAAGTGACTTTAATATATCCTCTCATCCTCAGTGTATAGAAATGCTTTTTTCCTCACACAGCTCTAACAAGCATGTCATAAAACTCTTTTTTTTTTTTTGAGATGGAGTTTCACTCTTGTTGCCCAGGCTGGAGTGCAATGGCACAATCTCAGCTCACCACAACCTCTGCCTCCCAGGTTCAAGTGATTCTCCTGTCTCAGCCTCCCGAGTAGCTGGGATTAGAGGCATGCGCCACCATGCCCGGCTAATTTTGTATTTTTAGTAGAAATGGGGTTTCTCCATGTTGGTCAGGCTGGTCTCAAACTCCCAAACTCAGATGATGCACCTGCCTTGGCCTCCCAAAGTGCTGGGATTACAGGCATGAGGTACCGCATCCAGCCATAAAACTCTTAAATATGTTCCTCAACATGATAGGTGGAAAATTGTTCCCTTAGTACAGTATTTTTTTGTTTGTTTTTTGTTTGTTCATTAGTTTTTGTTTGTTGTTGTTGTCTTGTTTTGTTTTGTTTTAGACAGAGTCTCACTTTATCGCCAGGCGGGAGTGCAGTGGTGCAATCTCGGCTCACTGCAACCTCCAGCTCCCGGGTTCAAGCGATTGTCCTGCCTCGGCCTCCTGAGTAACTGAGATTATAGGCACCCGCCACCATACCCACCTAATTTTTGTGTTTTTAGTAGAAACGAGGGTCCACAATATTGGCCAGGTTGGTCTCGATCTCTTGTCCTCATGATCCGCCTGCCTCGGCCTCCCAAAGTGCTGGGATTATAGGCATGAGCCATCGTGCCTGGCAAATTTTTAATTAAAAAAAATAAAATAAAATGTCCAGAACTGTTTGTATTTCCTTTTCTGTGACCTAGATGTTTATATCCTTTACTTCTGTTTATTATTTTTGTGTTGGTAGGCTTCTTCCTATTGAATAGTGGAAGCTCTTTATGTATTAGGGAAGTTCATCTCTGCCTGTGATATGATTGCACATATTTCTCCCAGTTTCATGATTGTTTTCTCAGTTTGCTTACAATAGTTTTAACACAGAGCTTTTTTATATTTCTACATTGTAAGATTTGCCAATATTTCCATTAATATCCCCCTATGACTTGTGGAGAACAGAGCTTTGGGCCCCAGCTGAATGGCAAAGAGCACAGTCCCTCAGTGTGGAAGACCCACTGCAGGTGACCTTGATGCCAACAGGCGGCGGGCCAGGGGGATGATGTTGATGACAATCTTCAACTACACTTGAGGATGAAGTGAGACATGGGGTCTCACTTCGACAGGGTGAGAATGAATTGGCCCAGAAAGCACTCATTTCTCCTTTCAGCAAACATTCTTTGTGAGGTCGCCACAGTCTTTGCCTATGTTTTACAAATGTGACTGAGAACAGATGGAAGATCTGCCCAAGGTCACACTGGATTCTAAAACCTGTTTCTAACTGTGTCATCCTCCAGAACGTGAATGTGCATCTGGGAGGATGATCCCCAACCAACATGTGATCTGAAAGTACATATTGCCCATTAAAAAAAAAAAAAAAAAAAAGGCCAGGTGCGGTAGCTCATGCCTGTAATCCCGACACTTTGGCAAGCCAAGGTAGGTGGATCACTTGAGGTCAGGAGTTCAAGACCAGCCTGGCCAACATGGTGAAACCCTGTCTCTACTAAAAAATACAAAAATTAGCCGGGCATGGTGGCAGGCCCCTGCAATCCCAGCTACTCAGGAGGCTGAAGCAGGAGAATCACTTGAACCTGGGAGGTGGAGGTTGTAGTGAGTCAAGATGGCACTACTACACTCCAGCCTGGGTAACAGAGTGAAACTCCGTGTCCAAAAAATAATAATAATAATAGCTTATGTGGGGAATGGGGTTGCTTGTTTCTGACTGAGGTATAAGTTCATTTGTAATGCAGTGTTGAAATGATTGCTTCTCCTAAAAGCAGATCTTGAGAAAAAAAAAAAAAAAAAGAAAGAAACAGTTGTTGAATTCTCAGTGCTGTCTGATGGTGAGTTCCCAGCAGGCCAGATAAGCAGAGAGGACTGCGGAGGGAATTCTGCTGGGTGACAGCTGGGGCAAAGGTTAATATGTAATTGGGGGTCAATGTTAGTGGGGAAACTTGCCTCAAAGGAGCAGAAGTGTGGATTCAGGACCAACAAGAGATGAGTTTCGTGTGACACAGGGGTGAGGTTAGATTAGAATTTTTAGAATATCATAGGCAGAGTTTCGTTTAGAATAATTGCCACTCTTGGGAATCTCCAATTTGCTGTAGTTGATGCATAGGCCTTGATTAAAAAGAGATATATTCAGAACAGAAAACTGAGGGACTGTCACATGTAAGCGACTGCAGTAATGTGATTTAGTTAAAAACAAAACAGAAGGCCGAGGCGGGTGGATCACGAGGTCAGGAGATCGAGACCCGTCTCTACTAAAAATACAAAAAATTAGTCGGGCGCGGTGGCGGGCGCCTGTAGTCCCAGCTACTCAGGAGGCTGAGGCAGGAGAATGGCGAGAACCCGGGAGGCGGAGCTTGCAAAAAATAAATAAATAAAAAAAAATAACAGAACATCAAGCACTGGCCTGGAAGTGAGGACTCCATGCAGATGTTTCCCAGCTGTGCCACTTGTTTGTTCTGTGACGTTGGGTAGGTAGCTTGCCGTTTCTAGGTTTTAGCTTTCACCTTCTGTAAAATAAGGCTGCCGGTGAAGGGCTCAGAGCATTTGCAGCCCAAGCAGCGGAAAGCAGCCTCTTTCTGCTGCAGGCCGTGGGAAAGTGGCCTTGTTGGCAAGCCTGCCGTCTGCATTCCATGCTCAATTTCCTGCCCTGGAGAGGGGTAGGAGGCAGGCACGTCACCTTGCACCCAGATCCCAGGCCAGTGGGAAGACATGCCCATCCCAGAACCCGGAGGCTGCTGACAGAATTGGGTGGTGATTAGGACTTGCTGGGGGCCACAGCAATCTGATTTCCAATCTCCATCTCTCTCTAGCTGTGAGCTCTCTGGTTAGTGCTGCCCCTGATCTGAGTAGCCTCTGCACAATGGGGATAGTACCCACTCCCCATGCAGTTACCGAAAAGATCAAATGAGATGTGTGTAAATGCTTAGAGCAGTGCTGGGCACATATTACATACTCAGTGCTATTTTTTATTATTGGCTTAATTATTTAAATCAAATATTAACCTCCTATCTAATGTAGGAATTCTCTCTACAGCGTATCAGACAACTGGCTATTCTCACTCTGCTTGAATGCTTCCAGTGACAGGGGACTCACTACTTCTCCCAGTAAATTGTTTCACTAGTAGATAGTGCTTCTGGAATTTTATGGAATTTTAAAGCTGAGAGGAACGTTATAAATCAAGTGTAACTGCCTCAAGAGAAAACCCAAGTTCAAGAGGTGAAATGAGGCCGGGCATGGTGGCTCACGCCTGTAATCCCAGCACTTTGGGAGGCTGAAGCAGGTGGATCACCTGAGGTCAGGGGTTCGAGACCAGCCTGGGCAATATGGTAAAACCCTGTCTCTACTAAAAATACCAAAGTTAACCAGGCATGGTGGTGCATGCCTGTAATCCCAGCCACTTGGAGGCTGAGGCATGAGAATCACTTGAACCCAGGAGGTGGAGGTTGCTGTGAGCCAAGATTGCATCACTGCACTCCAGCCTGGACAACAGATCGAGACTCTGTCTCAAAAAATAAATAAATAAATAAATAAATAAATAAATAAATAAATAAATAAAATTCTACCTTCAAAATTACTGTCTCCTAATACTTTATAACTATTATGTAGTTTGAAGATGATCTGTTCTCTCTCTGGAAGCTTTTAGAGCTTTCTCCTTGTCATTATTATTATTATTATTATTATTATTATTATTATTATTATTATTTTGAGAGAGGGTCTCACTCTATGGCCCAGGTTGGAGTGCAGCGGTGCATGATCACAGCTCACTGCAGCCTTGACCTCCTGGGCTAAAGTGGTGCTCCTGCCTGAGCCTCCCCAGTAGCTAGGACTACAGGCAAGTGCCACCATGACTAGCTAATTTTTTTGTTAATATTTTGTAAAGATAGATAGGGTCTCAAAATGTTGTTCAGGCTTGTCTCGAACTCCTGGCCTCAAGTGATCCTCCCGCTTTGGCCTTGCAAAGTGTTGGGATTACAGGCATAAGCCACTGTGCCCAGTCTCCTCATTATTTTTATTTATTTACTTTTTTACTTAATATTTTTAAATTTTATAGTTGTACCTAGGAATTGATTTTTCCTTATCTCTTCTTAGCTCTTCTTTATAAGTCCTTTCAAATAAGGTCATTTTTTTGGAAATGTATCTCCATTATTTGTTCAAGTATTTCCTCCACTCTGTTTTTACTTCTTACACCAGCTGAATTTATTGCTCAGGTGTTCGCACTTTTATGTTTATCATCCACATTTCCAAGCTTTTCTTCTCTATTTCTTATGTTTTAGTCTTATTGTGAGACCGCCACAATCATGTGTTCATATATTCTTTCTTCAACTATATCCATTCTATTTCATTTGTCAAATTTGATTAATTTCCATTTATCAAATTCTTTGTTTTAACTATTTTATTTTTCCTACCTAATATTTTCACTTAGTTTTTTTTATGATATCTTGTTCTTGCTGCATATTGCTAACATTTTCTGTTGTCTCCTATTTAAGGAGCATTATTAGATTTTGGGACCTTCTGCTTCAACATATGTGATCAGATGATACATGCTGCTTGTGTAGACTTTTCCTCCAGTTATTTGGCTGTGGGCTCATTTTCCTTTGGGAAAATGTTTGGTCATATGTACTGGGAGGGGCCAAGGCCAGCCTCATCTGTGTTGGTCCCGGCCATGTGAGGACTGAGAATCCAGGGATCACAGACCCCTTAGTGAATCCCCGTCTGAGGCCAATCCACTAGTCATTCCTTTGGCTGGAGTTTTCACTTTTAAACCCTTAGGAGGAAATAAGATAATCTACAGTCCTGGCAATTTGGTTGGAAGCATGGTGAAGGAACTACCTGAGGGCTGTCTGTGTCTATTTTTGTGAATTCTCTCCCATGCCCCCGCAGAGTTTGTGTTGCTGATATGAGTGGACAGTGCTCCGGGCACTGTTAACTGTCATGCTGAAGGAGTCAGGCTGATGACTGTCTCTCTGAAGGCAACTTGAGGGAACAAGAGCGGAATGTAAAGGCTGCCCAACCAGTTCTTCATGATGCCCAGGCTCCACCCCCACACTAATTTCAGTAGTCTTCAGTCTCAGAGAGGGTAGTGAGAAATTCCCTAATTTCCCTGCTTAGTGTTAGGAATCCATGTGTCTCTCTCCTGTCCTTCCACTATCTGTTTAGGGTTGATTTTGAAGATCTTGGCAGGGATTCTCTACCATGTAGTATCTTATTTATGTATTTATATAGAATGAATGAATGAGGTGGTGTGTTATTGTCTTTTTCTTTTCCTTTTTTTTTAAAACAGGATATCACTCTGTGGCCCATGCTGGAGAGCAGTGGCATAATCACGGCTCACTGCAGCCTGGACATCTCTGCGCTCAGGTGATCCTCCCACTTCAGCCTCCCCAGTAGCGGAGATCACAGACATGTGCCACCACGCCTGGCTAATTTTTTGTAGAGACTGGGTCTGGCCATGTTGCCCCAGGCTGTTCTTGAACTCCTGGGCTCAAGCCATCCTCCTGCCTCAGCTTCCTGAAGTGCTGGGATTACAGGTGTGAGCCACTGTGCCCAGCCAGTATCTTCATGTTTATAATATTTTATAGTATCTTCAACTTGAAATGGGGATAATGGTCACCTCAAAGAGCAGTTGTGGATTTTGGATATTTTATATCAGTTTCCAGAACAAAATAAATATTTGAAAAGTATTGAGTTTTTTTTACTTTCAAAAGACCTAATGCCTAATTTTTCTTCTCCGGGAAGGAGGAGTATGCGGATAGGTCAGTTGGCTAATTCCATCAGCATTTTCAGCCCTGGAACAACGCTCTTTGCCAGATTGTATTATGGCTCCAAATACTATTGACATTAACTACTAACCTCCCAGGAACAGTGCCTAGCAGTTTTTCTTATTGACGGTGTTGGTACATATAGAAACCAACGCTAAGCCTCAGAAATCAAGGCTGAACCATGTGATTTCTAGTTCTAAATTTTCTCTATTTTGCTACTCAAAAGTGGTCTATCCATCCATGTGGTCAAGTATGAGGAGCACAGGCTGCAATGTGGTCAATCACAAACCTTCCAGGAAAACTGTACTCGTGCTTTACGTGTTATAGTTTACAAAGTTTCTTTCTTTCTCTGCTTTATTTTCCCTCCCTCCCTTCCTTCCTTCCTTCTTTCCTTCCTTCCTCCTTCCCTCCTTTCTCTTTCTCTTTCTCTGTCTCTCTCTTTCTCTCTTGCTTTCTTTTCTTTCTTTCTTCTTTCTTTTTTCTTTCTCCTTCTTTCCTTCCCTCCCTCCACCCTCCCTCCTTCCCTCCTCTCTTCTCTTCTTTTCTCTTCTCTTCTTTTTCTTTTCTTTCTCTCCCTCCACCTCCAGGGTTCAAGTGATTCTCCTGCCTCAGCCTCCCAAGGAGCTGGGATTACAAGCAGGCACCACCATGCCTGGCTAATTTTTGTATTTTTAGTACAGACAGGGTTTCACCATGTTGGCCAGGTTGGTCTCAAACTCCTGACCTCAAGTGATCCGCCTCCCCCGACCTCCCAAAGTGCCATACAAATTTTAGGATCTTTTTTTAATTTCTGAGAAAAAATATCGTTGGAATTATTACTATTATTATTTTGAGATGGAGTTTCGCTCTTGTTGCCCAGGCTGGAGTGCAATGGCGCCATCTCGGCTCACCACAACCTCTGCCTCCTGGGTTCAAGCGATTCTCCTGCCTCAGCCTCCTGAGTAGCTGGGATTACAGGCATGGGCCACCACGCTTGGCTGATTTTGTATTTTTAGTAGAGACGGGGTTTCTCCATGTCGGTCAGACTGGTCCTGAACTCCTGACCTCAGTTGACCCACCCGCCTTGGCCTCCCAAAATGCTGGGATTACAGGTGTGAGCCACTGCGCCCTGCTCTATCATTGGAATTATGATGGGGATGGTGTTGAATCTGTAGATTGCTTTGGGTAGTATGGATATTTAAACAATGTTAAATCTTTCAATACATGAACATGGCATGACTTCCCATTTATTTGCATCTTCAGTTCCTTTCATCAATGTTTTAGAGTTTTCAGTGTAGAGATCTTTCACTTCCTTGGTTAAATGTACTCCTAGGTATTTAACTTCTTTTTAACTACTATAAATGGGATTGCTTGCTTGCTTTCTTTTTTTTTTTTTTTTTGATAACTTGTTGTTAGTGTATGAAAATGCTACTGATTTTTGCATTTTGACTTTGCATCTTGCAACTTTACTGAATTTGTCTGTTAGTTCTAACAGGTTTGGGGTGGTATTTCAATTATTTTAATGATGAAACCAAGGTCCGGAAAGGTGACAAACTTGTCTAAAATCCTGTGGCTAGAGCCAGGTTAAATCCCATCTTCAATCTCAACTAGTAGGGTAATACTTTCTGATTTTTAAGTGTGTCAAATGTATCACCAGTATGCATGGTGATTTTAGGTAATAATTATCCTTTCTTTTCATGTGTATTAGAAAAAATATAATGAACAAACCGAGTCTGGAATTTCATAGTTATTCTTGTTTAGGAAATTTTTTTTAAAAGTGAATTTCTGGCCAGGTGCAGTGGCTCATGCCTGTAATCCCAGCACTTTGGGAGGCTGAGGCCGGCAGATCATTTGAGGTCAGGAGTTTGAGACCAGCCTGGCCAACATGGTGAAAACCCATCTCTACTAAAAATATAAAAATTAGCCGGGCATGGTGGTGGGTGCCTGTAATCCCAGCTACTTGGGAGGCTGAAGCAGGAGAATCGCCTGAACCTGGGAGGTGGAGATTGCAGTGAGCCAAGATTGCACCACTGCACTCTAGCCTAGGAAACAGAGTGAGACTCAGTCTCAAAAAAAACAAACAAACAAACAAAAAAAAAAACCAAAATACTTGTAATCATAAATAATAAATTCAGATGTATTGTAGACATGATTAAAGTTGTGGAGGTGACCCCTATGTGCTTGAGATTTAGGTAACTCTTCCTTACCTTACATTATAGATGCCATTCCTCTCATTTATAACAATGTTAAGATTTCTTCAATTTAATCCTGTGCAATGTATGAATACAAGGAAAAAGTAAGTAAATGTTCATTCATGAATATTTCCCTGAACAGCATTTTTGTTTCTTTCTTACTTTTAAAAATTACTTTTCCATTTCCCACACCTATGTGACTGAACAGCATTCATTGTATACCAGAAGTATTTCCCTTAATCCAACATAATGACTTACTACAAATAGAAATGAGGCAATTGATGTACTTAAATCCTTTATAAAAGCTTAGAAGCCATCTTAAAATGCTTCGCAGAAGTAGCAAATACAGTATTTTGAGTAGGATTTTCAAGTGCTTACTGTGGGATCAGAGCACAAATCTCCTCTCCAAGAAGAGAAATGTGAACATTAAAGACTCCTATTGTCCAGCGTGGATGAAAATGGAAACATAATTCACAATTTGTTGTGGACAAGGAGCCTCACAGAGAGAATGTTTCCATTGTCTTAAAGTGTGTTACTCAGCTACCCTACTAGCATTTTTTTCACTGTGCTGACAAGAAAGGGAAGGAAAAATATTCACAACCCAGGTTGCTAAACTAAGAGCTTTAATTAATGAGACTCCAGAAAGGGCCCTAGCAAGATAAAAATGTGATTGCACTGTGCTCTCTGACCTCAGTTGCAAGTTCTTTGACTTCTCTTTCATGTTCTCAGACCCTCAGTGTAAAGATATAAGGGCTTTCTGAGATTGCAAGTTGTTTTTCTAAAAAGCCTCTTTACACATCTGGAATATAACCTCTTAAACCTAACCCAGGCTTATGTTAACACCGTGGCTTTAAAGCATGTTTAGACTGCGTGGAATCATAAACATGTTGAATGTAGGAAACACTGTTAGTTTATAAATTGGGCCTGCTATTAAGTTCTGAGGTCATTAGTCTGGTTTTTTTTTGTTTTGTTTTGCTTTGTTTTTGTTTTTTTGTTTTTTGTTTTGTCCTTACTTTTTTATTTTTCCAAACTATATGTGCTTTGCAAATCTAAGGGGTGGGTAAGAAAACAGTTTAGCCTGGTTTTTTTCCATGGTTGCTTCCACCAAGATGGCTCTGGCCTTTTCTCATCCAAAATCAACATAAAGCTGTTTCTCCCATATCACCACCATGACTACCACACAAAGCCAGGA
Source organism: Homo sapiens (assembly GCF_000001405.40). NCBI lineage: Eukaryota > Metazoa > Chordata > Mammalia > Primates > Hominidae > Homo > Homo sapiens. Next base: position 15,591,430 of record NC_000022.11, on the reverse strand, counting down.
TGTCTATTTTTAAATTTGTTGCTTCACAGACTTACTACTAAACTCCTGGATAATGGGGGAGGTGGGCAACACGACGCCCAGAGTCATGTCTGTCTGTGTGATACTGGGCAAGTTACTTTACCTCGTTGAGATGTTTATGGTTCTATGAATGGAATGATCTGCACCATTTGCTCACTAGATCCCCCTTTGCAACTAAGCCATGATAATACCCCAAATAAGATGACAGGATTTTATACAGGCATGCCTGCATATTGACATTTTGATCAATGACACACAGCACGTATGACCCTGGTTCTATAGGATTAGAACACCACATTTTTACTGTACCTTTTCTATGTTTGGCTATTTTTTGCTTGTTTTGTTTTTTGAGAGAGTCTCGCTCTGTTGAACAGGCTGGAGTGAAGTGGCCCAATCCTGGCTCACTGCAAGCTCCACCTTCCGGGTTCAAGCCATTCTCCTGCCTCAGTCTCCCAAGTAGCTGGGATTACAGGCACCTGCCACCATGCCTAGCTAATTTTTGTATTTTTAGTAGAGACAGGGCTTCACCATGTTGGCCAGGCTGGTCTTGAACTCCTGACTTCAGGTGATCCGCCCACCTTGGCCTCCCAAAGTACTGGGATTACAGGCGTGAGCCACCGTACCCAGCCTATTTGGCTTTTTTTTTTTTAAATCCCATCCTAAAGAAAAGCTAGGTACACAAATACTTACCATTGTGTTACAGTTACCTTCAGTATTCAGTACTACTCTATATGCTGTATGGGTTTGTAGCCTGCGGGCAACAGACTGTACCATATAGCCTCAGTGTGTAGTCAGCTCTGCCATGTAGGTTTGTGAGTACACCCTATGAGATCTGCACAGTGATGCACTCACCTAATAATGCATTTCTCAGAATGCATCCCCATTGTTAAGTGATGCATCCTGGGCTTTGTGCATTAAAAAAATGCCAGAACACTCCATACTTAGTGCATAGACTTTATCAAATGTTGAATAAAAACAGAAACAAAAAGGAGACAATCCTACAATGAAAAGGAGACACTCATGTCTACCCTAGTGATTCACTGTACGTGGAGGAGGTAAGTGGGGCATGGACAGGTCTACAAATATAATACATATATACCCGACAACCACAGTGCTTTGCATTTCTTTATCAGTGAAAAACAAACTGAGATCTGAAGTGTATAAACAGTTCCTTAGTAAAGTCTATTTGAGAAAAAGAATCAAATGTGCATCAATATATCAAAACTGACAAATACAAGAAAAGCATTCAGCTAGAGATAATTCACAGCATTTTATTCAAGTTAATCCATTTCATTCAATAATCTTCCATATTGTTCCCAGCACCACTATTACTATCATTATTTCTCTTCGGAGAAGACCAGATATTAAGAAATCGGGTTTGAATTTCCATGATGCCTAACTCTATGGTCAAAAATCCTTTTCCTTACCAAAAACCAACTTCTTAATCACCAGAGAAAAGAGGGAAAGACTGAGATATATTTGCAGAAATTTATGTCAACTAAAGACAATTCATAGTTCATAATCTTTCAGGCTTGTGCTTTACTTGGTGACTCTCTTTTGGGGAGGGGCTTGTTTCTTATAAATGTTTGTCTAATACAAATCACTTGCCCCACTGTACCATGGAAGGGAAATGAGGGCTAGTCCCCAAAGAGCAAGCAAGCAGTCCTCCTGGGAAGAAGCCCTAATGGCTCCTAGTGGTGACACAGTCATTCTGCCAGGGTGAGGGGACACAGTCATTCTGCCAGGGTGAAGGGACACAGTCATTCTGCCTCCCCAACCTGTGAGCAATAATAAAATATAACCAAGTGAACAGGAGAGGTACTAACTAGCTGGATAATCCATGGTGGACTAGAATCTCTAAACAGGAATGTTTATGTGTTTTGAATAAATCAGAGCTGGAAAGAGACACTTTTGGAGAAGTGATGGAGAATAGAAAAGTATGAAAAAGATAAAGGTTTCTCACCAAGGAACCCACAAAAAAGGTAGTACCAGTCAAAGGTAGTCTTGGGCTTTTCTTTTGAGATGAGTGTACCCCACGTGGGTTGTGCCATTTTCATATAAAAATTGGAATGATAATGAACAAGTGAAAGTGAAATCAGTTTCCCTCCTTTGTTCAATAAACATGGATAGAGTACCTGTGTGCAAGGTAGTGGGACAGGTGCTGAGGGGAAAGGTAAAGCTGTTTAAGCTGTGGCCCTGAGCGAAAAAGCAATCTAGCAGCACCATCAGACTGCACACTACAGAGCAGAGTGTCCCAGGGGCCAGGTGGAGGGAAGGATCACTTCCAGCTGCAGCATCAGGGAAGGCACTCTGCAGTCTCCCCTGTGGGTTCTCAGTGTGCCTGTGTGACAGCTCAGCCTGCCCCATTCCAGGCACTTGCTCATCTTTCTTATCTTTCTCTCTAGCGTGAGAAGTGGAAGTTTAAGAGGATAAGATCCTGCCTCACAGGTACCTAATAAATGTGTGTGGAATTGACGTATGGTGGAGGTGTCACTTTATCTGGTGCAGCAAGGCGGAAAGAGCTTTGGGAAAGGAGAGCAAAGATGGTGGTGGTGAGGGTAAGGTGTTTTCATCAGAAGGCGAGAGCAAGGGTATACAAACCAAAAAGTCAATTTAGTATGTGGCTTAGCCCAGAGCACACGAGGGCACCAACACAGCCAAAGTCCATAAGAAGGTAGCTGAAGTCCTCTGCCAAATAGGACTGAAAAGCTAAAATCTTTCTCAGTTTCTTTCTTAAGCAACAACTGGTCTATTCAAGCTCAACCAGAGCATATAAGAGAAAAAATGACTAATGAGAGGCTCTTAAATAGTTTTCAAGGACAGACACTTTCTAGAAAGTAGAAAAGATCACTGAGTAAATACTGCACCTCCCTTACCCCACAAACACACACAAAAAAGATGAGGATGTGTAGAGCAAGCTTGTGGACATCCTCAAGTTTGGTTTTGATGCTTCTGTTGGTAAGCAGTCAAGATGGTGAGAGATGCCATCCCAAAGAGGAAAGTCTGTAGGAACCAGAGTAGCTGAGCGTGACCACTTGTGATGCCTTTATGCCTAAAAAAGAAAAAACAAAATTTAAACACCAGAATGTTAATCTTACAGTTTCATGGGAATTATTGTCTTCTATATCATTTTTTAAAATTTATACTTTCCATTACTTTCATTGGGTTTATTTTGCTGCTTTTCTCTGGCTTCTTATCTTGGATGGTTTGTTTATTTTTCTTCTTTCTTGTTTTCTAATAAATGTATTTTGGATGGTACACTATTCCTGAGAACCAGTCTGGCTGGCTACTCTCTGGGGCACAGTATTATAAGACTGTTTCTCATGTGATTCTGATGGGTGGATGGAGTAAAACGCACTGGTATGGCTTCAGATCAAATGTTTTGAAGATAGACCAGATGTAAATCCTAGCGTGGCTACCTACCAGCTGTGACCTGGGCAAATCACTCAGTATCTCTCCGAATCAGTTTTCTCAGCTGAACAACAAGAATGGCAGTAGCTAGCTCATTGAGTGTTGAGATAATTTATGGGATAATACACACAAAGTGCTCAGAAAGGAGCCTGGCACACACTCATGATAAACACCTGCTTATATTGTCATTGAAATTCAATTGCTTAAAACGAAGTGCAAAAAAAAAAAAAAAAAAATGACCCAATGGAAGTGAATGGCTTGCTACAGTCTCATCTGTATATAAATAAGTCTCATTTGGATGACTTTTATTTATAATTTTAAAAACAATATACGTAAAAACAGTATAATTTTCTACATTAACAGATTAAAGGAGAAAGATCACATGAATATCTTAATAAATGCAGAAGTGGCATTTGATAAATTCCACTATCTGTTCTTTTTCCACCCCCTCAGAGATGGGGGTCTCACTCTGTCACCTACAGCGGAGTACACTGGTACAATTACAGCTCACTGCAGACTCAAATTCCTGGGCTAAAGTTATCCTCCCACCTCAGCCTCCCAAGTAGCTGGGATCATCACAGGCATGCACCACCATGCCTGGCTAGGTTTCTTTTTTTTTTTCTTTTCTTTTTTTGTAGGGGCAGTGTCTTGCTTTGTTGTCCAGGCTGGTCTTGAACTCCTGGCTTCAACTGATTCTCCTGCCTCAGCCTCCCAAAGTTGCTGGGATTACAGGTGTGAGCCACCTGCGTCCACACTTGCCATCCATTTTTAATAAATGTTCTCAGCAAAGTTAGAAATACAATGGAACTTCCCAATTTTGATAGAGGAGATCTACAAAACTCTAGAATAAACATGACGCAAAATGTTGAAAGTTCTCCTTTGAGGTCAAGAACAGGGCACACTTCTAGTCAGCACTGCTGGAAGTTCTATGCAATAGAATAAGGGAAGAAACATAAATAAAAGTTATACACAATTGAAAGAAAGAAATAAAACTATTTCTGGACAGTTTTATACCTGAAAAACTGAAAATAATCTACAAACTATTAGAATTAATAAATTTATTTAGCAAGGTTGCTGGGTATAAGGTCAATATAAAAAATGGACTATATTCATAAAAACTACCATCAAACAATTAGAAAATGAAAAACAGCTGAGATCATGCCACTGAACTCCAGCCAGGGCGACAGAGCTAGACTCCATCTCAAAAAAATAAAAAAAGTTGGTGCGGTGGCTCAGGCCTGTAATTCCAGCACTTTGGGAGACTGACACAGGCGCATCGCTTGAGCCCAGGAGTTTGACACCAGCCTAGGTAACATAGTGAGACCCCATCTCTCTAAAAAAGTCATTTATAATAGCATCTCAAAGTAGAAGCAGCTGGAAATTAATCTAACAACAGTGTGTAAAACCTCTTAAAAAATATAGGTATATTAAAGGAGATCTAAATAAATAGAGACAGATCATTTTAACATTTAGAAGACTCAATAATAGAAATATGTGATGCTTTCCTGACCTTAAGGGGAAAGAAAAGAAAAAAAATGTAATGGAAATATGTCAGTGTTCTCCAGATTAGTTCACATGGTCAATCCAATAAAAATCTCAACAGCTATATTTTTTGTTTTTGAACACAGGACAATGCATAGAATAAAAAGGTGTAGGAAAAGGCAATCCTATTGCACAAGATGAGAGGACATGCTTTATCAGATAACAATGATTATAAAGTTGCTGCTATTAATAGAGTGTTGTGTTAGCCCAAGGATAAACAGGCCAATGGAAAAGAATAGAGTGTTAAGAAACAGATCCATACATATAAGCAAAGACAGGGCACATCAATGAAGACTGAAAGTCTCAAGAAATAGCTCTGGGATAACTGGGCATCCAGATGGAAAAGGTAAAGTTGGAAACCTTCTCTTACAAAAAAAAGCTCTAGGTAGAATGAAAACTTAAATGTCAAAAAAAAATTCTAAAACTGTTAGAAGATACTGTAAAAGAATATAACTTTAATACAAATAAATGAATAAAATTGACTAAATTCCTAAACTTCTGTTTATCAAAAGGCCCAACAGAATAAAAAGACCATGAGAAAGGATATTTGCAAAACATCTAAATGACAAGGTACTGAAGATCAGAAAAAACAAGGAGCGCCTATGAGAAGTTAAGCAAAGGACAGACAGCCCATTAGAACATTGGTGAGATTGTGGGGAAATGGGCATTATCATATACTTCGGTTAGAAGCATAAATTAGTCCCACAGTGTTGAAGGCAATATGGCAATACATATTATAATTAAAAGGTCATTCTTTTTTTTTTTTTTTTAGATGGAGTCTTGCTCTATCGCCCAGGCTAAAGTGCAGTGGTGCGATGTTGGCTCACTGCAACCTCTGCCTCCCGGATTCAAGCGATTCTTTTGCCTCAGCCTCCTTAGTAGCTGGAATTACATGTGCCTGCTACCATGCCAAGCTAATTTGTGTGTGTGTGTGTATTTTTAATGGAGACAGGGTTTCACCATGTTGGCCAGGCTAGTCTTAAATTCCTGACCTCAGGTGAACCACCAGCCTCAGCCTCCCAAAGTGCTGGAATTACAGGCGTGAGCCACAATGCCCAGACAAAAGTATTCATTCTTTAATCTTCAAATTCCAGATCTTGGAATTTTTTCCAAGGGAACAAATACCAAAGTGGGACAAATACATGAAATTCATGTTCATTGCTGTATTGCTTGTAATAGTAAAAAAGTAGAGACTTAAAAGTCCATCAGAAGGAGGATTTCTTAAATACATTAAGGCACATCTATATAGTAGAATTCTATGCACTAATATTAATGGATGAGTAAGTTTATACGTATAAACATAGACAAATAGGCATATGTTAGTCCAGCGCAGTGGCACACCTGTAGTCTCAGCTACTTGGGAGGCTGAGGCAGGAGGATCACTTGAGCACGGGTGCTCAAGGCCAGCCTGGGCAACATGGTGAGACCCATCTCTTAAAAAATAAAATAAAATACAATTTAAAATAGGCATATATGACAATGGAAACCAATTATAGAAGAGATTATATCTATATGTATATATATAATTGGATTACAGGCATGAGCCACCACTCCTAGCAACTTTCAATTTTATAAACTGAGTTTTTAACAACATTATTAACTTAAAAATAAACGTGTTTGTTTTGAAATGGGCAAAACAACAAAAATATTTTGTTTTGGAAAATAAATTTATATGATCCTGTAAATGTGTAAGATACTTAGGAAAGAAAAATAAAGATGAGTTGGCATCTTGGAAGAGCAGGCTCACTCAACAGCAGTGCTTGTTTCCTCCTCCTTCAGAGGGGTCACAGCTGATGGCCAGGTAACCCGGAGAAGGGTTTTCCTGGGGTCACCATAACTTGTTCCATTCACACACCTTTATCTGTATTCTCAGCTCATTTTACCTATTTAAAAGACAAAAGTCTTTTAAGAAAGTTTTCTTAATTTAATTCGCATTTCCCTTAATGATTCTACCAAGACCCAGGCAGATGTAAAAATCTCTTTGTGAGTATACTGTTTCCTGCCTTAGGAAAAAATGTTACTTCTGATACTTGAAAATTTTCACAATTTACCTGTTTTGGTCACTCGAGGCTGCCCTATCACAGAGGACTTCCACTTGTCAAGAACTTCTATTCTGTTTCTACATGGTAATAAAATCTACTCTACATATAAATGTTTGCAAGAACTGAAAAACCTTTCTCAGGGCTGCAGAGCCAACTGGGGTAAACAAGCAGCAAGAATCTAATTTCTGAACTAAGAGAATAAGCCGTATATTCTGAATGGAAAACTCCAGGTTGTAAAAAGTTAACAATGAACATGAATGTTGGCCTCAAAGAGATACTATTTTATTTATTTATCTCTAAGGAAAAGCCGTTCTATTTTTCTTGTTGAAATATTATTATGTAACGAGAACTACAAGCGCCTTTCAAAGAAGAGTTGAACCTCACTTCGTAATCAAATAAATACAAGTTAAAATGGCTACATACCCTTTTTAATCTACCAAAATAGCAAAGGGTTTTTGCCCCCCATCATCAAAAATGGCCTCTTTTTTTTCCTTTTTTTTCTTGAGACAGACTCTCACTTTGTCACCCAGGCTGGAGTGCAGTGGTGCAATCTCGGCTCACTGCAATTTCTGCCTCCCAGGTTCAAGCAATTCTCCTGCCTCAGCCTCCCAAGTAGCTGGGATTACAGGCGTGCACCACCATGCCCAGCTAATTCTTGTATTTTTAGTAGAGACGGGGTTTTATAATGTTGGCCAGGCTTGTCTCGAACTCCTGACCTCAGGTGATCTGCCCACCTTGGCCTCCCAAAGTGCTCGGATTACAGGTGTGAGCCTGGCCAGAAATGGCACTTTCATAGAATGGTAGTGGAAATGTAAAAACTTTAAAAAGTATTCCTGTCTCATTCTACTAATTTTAAAATTTCATTTATTTGGTTATATTTCTTCAATTTACCTGGGCCTGAATACTTCTTTCCTGCCCAGCATTAAGTTTAATTAATGTCTAATTTCTTTACTTGGTTTAGTTACTTTTGACCATGCTTGGTACACTTCTTGTGTAGCAGGCATGTAGAAATGTTTACAAGTTTATGGTCCTCATTCTTCCAAATCCCTAATGGCGGCACCCAAGAGACACATACCGCAATGTAAACACATACACACACACACCCGCACACCCATACTCACCCACCTACACACACACACACACATCCCCACACACACCCATACTCACCCACTTACACACAGACACACACACACCCGTACACACCCATACCCACCTACACCCAGACACCAGACACACCCGCACACACCCCCACACTCCCAGACACACCTGCACTCACCCACACACCCAGACACACCTGCACTCACCCACACACACCCATCCTTTACTGCCATTTACATCCACACATCCACACACACGACGCACACACACATACCGACTAAAATTAATTTAGATGCCAGTTCTAATTATATTTAGAATCCTCCCCCCTCACACACCCTTTTTTTTAATACGGAGTTTTACTCTTGTTGCCCAGGCTGGAGTGCAGTGGCGCAATCTTGGCTCACCACAAACTCCACCTCCCAGGTTCAAACGATTCTCCTGCCTCAGGCTCCCTAGTAGCTGGGATTACAGTCGCCCACCACCAGGCCCGACTAATTTTTGTATTTTTAGTAGAGGCGGAGTTTAAACATGTTGATCAGGCTGGTCTTGAACTCCTGACCTCAGGTGATCTACCCACTTCGGCCTCCCAAAGTGCTGGGATTACAGGTGTGAGCCACCGCATCTGGCCTTATAATCCTTTTAAGAAGAAAGAACATCCTTAATTTTTTGAAAAGACTATTCTGTGTCCGTTTTATAATTTTTTGGCCACTGAAAAAGATATGTCCAATCATAGACACAGTGAATATAACAGGTGGTAGTTTCAAGTGTTGACATTTGGTCCTGTGTGGTGGCTCACGCCTGTAATCCCAGCACTTTGGGAGGCTGAGGCAGGCGGATCACCTGAGGTGGGGAGTTCAAGACCAGCCTGGCCGACATGGTGAAGCCTACAAAAATTAGTGGGGCGTGGTGGCGCATTTCTGTATCCCAGCTACTCGGGAGGCTGAGGGAGAAGAATCGCTTGAACCCAGGAGGGCCAGGTGGCAGTGAGCCAAGATCACGCCACTGCACTCCAGCCTGGGTGACAGAGTGAGACTCCCTCTCAAATAAATAAATAAATAAAATGTTGAATTTTTACAAGTCGTTGTTCCCATTCAAATTTTTGAATGCAACCGCAGCCTCTTACAAAACAGCCTTGTTAAACTAATTTGCTGATGTTAAATTCTTAAGTAAAAGGGGAATTCCACAGGAATTTATATTGCTCTTTTATAAATCTCTTGAACCTGGGAGGAGGAGATTGCAGTGAGCCAAGATCAGGCCATTGCACTCCAGCCTGGGTGACAGAGTGAGAGTCTGTCTCAAACAAAAATAAAAATAAAAAAGAGGAAAAATCAGGCACAAGTATGCAGAGAAAGGTGAAGTGAGTAAAGGGTCTAACCCATAACTTTGAATTCCAAAGCTAGAGCTGATCCTCCAAAACACAGGAAATGCTACTTGCTTGTGAAATTAGTGTGCTTTTCATAAAAAGTAGAAAGTATTTGCACAGGTTTATGCAGTCCTGAGGGGCAGAGATGAATCTGTCATTTGCAGATATGAAGACAGCTCAAGGTGGTGATCCTGGACATTCAGGAGGGGAAATTAGACATGAGATCCGGGGCTGGATGCTTACTGAATTAGCCAGTCCCTGGGTCACTCAGGGGAAACCTATGCTGATTTCTGGAGCTCTTTCTTTGTATAGTCCATTATTTTAAATTTGAGATGCTCACTTAGCCCTCCTAAAATAATGTTTCTCTCTCTTCAATTCAGGGACTTCTCCAAGCTCTGTCTGGGTTCTGCTGTCAATGGTGTTGTCCAGTAAGTATCCCCAGGCAGAAATAAGAGGCTATTGTAGGGGTTGCATTGTTTGTGTCTCTTCTCAACTGGAGAAAAACAGTCCTTAGCTGCTGATTGTCTAATGTTTGAAAATGATTTTTTATATAGTTTGTCTAGTTTTCTAGTTGTTTATAGTGGAATCAGTCATTAGCTCCTGATTAGAATCTCTCATCTACTGAACTTTTTATTTTAATTTAAAACTTCTTAAAATGTTATATTTTAATTTTGTTACAGAATATAGTAATACATTATCCTAGTGTAAAATTTAAAAGGTAAGTAATACATAGTAAAAAAAAATTCCTCCCACTTTCACTCCCGGAAGTAACTGATGTTACAAAATTTTTCTGTCTTTTAAAGTTATTATATGTATCTACAAAACAAAACACAGGAAACTAGCCATAATAAAATAATGGGGTCTAAAGGAATTCAATCACATAAAATGTTAGGTCAAATTTATTGTGAGATTAATAAAAATTATACTTTTGTTAAACTATTTCTCTCACAAAAAGCACAAAATGATTGTGAAACTTACAGCACACGTTGCTGACTAGTGAACTGAGTAACCGCCATTGATTGTGAGGCAGTGACTTCTATGTCCTCTTCCCCATCTCATTACTTACAAGTCATGTATAAGAGTCTCCTTTGTTCTATAATTTCTCTGACAGTTGTGATTGAAATTTTCAATTTTTGTCAAGCTGGCTAATGTAAAACATCATCCTGTTCTATGTTTAATAGCATTTCCCTGATTACTAATATGAAGCATTATATATTGCCTATTCATGTTTCATATTTTGTATAATGTCTATATCCTTTGTTCATTATTTAATTGTGTTATTTGTATTCTTTATGTATTATTCTTTAACACATTGCTGTTTATATGTTGGTTATATTTTACATTTTCTTCTAGTTTATGGGAAGTCTTTTTCTTTTCCTAAGGCAATCTGTTGATAAATATAACCTGTGAATATTAAAGTTATTAAAGTTATCAAACATTTGAGATAAATTTATTCATTAGCTCTTTATGAGTTATTGGTTTTTTTCAGGTTAAAAGAAATAACTTCTTTTTTTGTTTTTTGATGTGAAGAACTTGGTGGAGAAATTAAAATTTCAGATGCAGAAAAAGAAGCAAGAAAATTTCTGGAATGACAGGCATGAGTAGATAACAGGTGTGATGGTTAATACTGAGTGTCACCTTGCTTGGATTGAAGGGTGCAAAGTATTGTTCCTGGGTGTGTCTGTGAGGGTGTCACCAAAGGAGATTAACAGTTGAGTCAGTGAACTGGGAGATGCAGACCCACCCTCAGTCTGGGTGGTCACCCTCTAATCAGCTGCCAGCACAGCTAGGATAAAAGCAGGCAGAGGAATATGGAAGGGCTCGACTGGCTCCACCTTTCTCCCATGCTGGTTGCTTCCTGCCCTCAAACATCAAACTCCAAGTTCTTTCAGCTTTTGGACTCTTGGACCTACACCAGGGGTTTGCCAGGGGCTCTCAGGCCTTTGGCCTCAGACTGAAGGCTGCCCGGTTGGCTTCCCTACTTTTGGGATTTGGGGACTCAGATTGGCTTTCTTGCTCCTCAGCTTGCAGACAGCCTATCGTGCAACTTCACCTTGTGATTGTGTGAGTCAATACTCTTTAATAACTCATTTTATATATACATTTATCCTATTAGTCATGTCCCTCTAGAGAATCCTAATACAACAAGACACAGCACCTAGTCACAGTGAGAGGGGTGGACATTATTTAGAAGCAAAGACAGTTCATCCATATGAAAAGGAGAGATAACAGAATGTAGGTATAGATATATAAAGATGAGCAGATGAAGAGACTAGAGATTTTGAAATTCTTGTCAAATGACCACTTTTTTTTTTTACAAGTGAAATTGAAAATAAAGTCATCAGTAAAGAGTTAAGATGGGAAGGAGAGAAAATAAGTATGAACTGTTACTCTGGGAAAGGATGAGAGTGAATGGGGCAGGGAATATTTTTTTCTGGGAAACATAAAGACAGGAGCTTTGTGATCATGAATTTCAGTTGAAACAAATTAACCTGATTCCCTCTTACTCTATTTTAAATTTCAGTTTTATTTATTTAAAAATCTGAACGTAATATCCATAATTATAGTATTATACAGAAGAGTTTCACTGCCCTAAAATTCCTCTGTGCTCCATCTGTGCGTCCCTCTGTCCCCCATAACTCCTGGCAACCACTGATTTTTTTTAACTGTCTCCATAGTTTTGCCTTTCCCAGAATGTCATGTAGCTGGAGTCATACAGTACGTAGCATTTCCTGATTGGCTTCACTCAGAAACATGTATTTGAGATTGCTTAATGTCTTTTTATGGCTTGATAGGTCATTTCTTTTTAATGCTGAATAACATTTAATTATTTGGATGTATTACAGTTTATCCATTTACCTAATGAAGGACATCTTGGTTGCTTCCAAGTTTGGCAATTATGAATTAAACCGCTATAAACATTATCGTGCAGGTTTTTGTGTGGACATGTTTTCAATTTCTTTGGGTAAATACTAAGGAGCATTATTGCTAGATTATATGATAAGAGTTTGCTTAGTTTTGTAAAAAGCTGACCAACTGTCTTCGTAAGTGGTGTAACATTTGCATTCCTACCAGCATCACCAGCATTTGGTGCTGTCTGCCTTTCATATTCACCAGGCTTAATCTTCATAATTGTGCTGCACTTACTTTTAAAACGAAAGTCTTCAATTCATCCCCTGCTTTGTTTCTTAAACAATCTTGAATGAGTTCTTTAAAGTCTAAAAATCTCCAGAAAATAAAAGTATTAACTATATATTGAGAGCTGAAGTTTGCAGAGCAAAGGAGTGACACTAAATTGGTGATGATATAAAACCTCAGCTGAAAATTCTAATAGCTAAAGAAGAGGTATGATATTTTCATTTATAGTTCCTTCTCATTTACATGTGTAAACTTAAGAAAGTCAGGAGTATTGTATTCTTAGGAAAATCAGAGCACTTCAAAAAATTGTTGTTTATAATGTTTAGAAATTTAGACCGAACATTTTCATGGTATAGACTAGAGTAGTCTTAGCTAAACAGAACCATTTATTAGTCTGTTGTACATATTGTTTCAGACACATTTATTATATTATAAACAAAAGGAGAATAAAGTAATGTAAAACTACTTTGAGAAGGTGTCTAATAAAAATAAGATAATTATGGGATTTCTATTATCCACACTCAATTAAGACTAATATTTTTAATTTAAAAAAGTTTTTTAAAGAAGAATTCCTGAATGGTAATTGATAATACATTACCTTGGCTTTTCTGATAAAAATCCTTGAAGAATAAAAATAATTTCTTCCTACTTCTATATTACGATCAGCATAATTGCAATAATATGCTTCAATTGTTAGTAAAGTAACATTTATGTTTTGGGATCAATGAATTTAAGCCAGCACTAAGAATTTTATTACTATTCCTCCACTACATTTCAGAGAGTTATTTCTTCATCCTTAAACATACCACAATAATAAGTCTGCTAGGTCCATTTAGATTTTCAACCCAACCCTAAAAGAAAGAAGGTTTCTATTGGTTACACATTTCAGAAGATTGTTGTATCTTTGAAACATCTGCAGTCTCATCTTAATAAATTTCAAACAAGAGCACTGAGACCCCAGCCAACAGAACTATCTAATTCAGTATTATTAAGATCTGAAGGATCAGTGGCAAAGCATTGGCTATTTTCTGCACCTTGACTATGCAAAAATTAAAATTTGGCCAGGATTGTTGTTCGTAGCAGGAGTCATGAATGGTTTTGTGGTGTTTTATGACATCTTAAGGGCCACATTGAACCTTGTTCTTATATTATGATCTGCTAAGCAATTCACCAACCATACTTCTCCACCTCAGTCCTGACTTTAGCCTCCTTAGGAGAATATTGGAGACATGATTGGTAGTAATGGCCCATTCCTTGACATTTTTGACCAGCTATAGAGCCCATGCCAGATACACATATGTATGTGTGTGTGTGTATATGTAGTGTGTGTGTGTGTATATGTAGTGTGTGTGTGTGTGTGTTGACTTGCTTAAAGATGTTACAGGGAAGATTATGTTTAAGAACAATTAGAGGGAAATGTCTTTTTGAGTTTGTTTCCTAAACCCTAAGCCATTCAGCTGACCTTATTATGTCTCTTTACCTCATAGTGTAAAAGTCAAAATGTGTGTGTATAATGGGAAAGGAGAGAGGCAGGAGGAGAAGATGAAGGGATTAATATCCATGAGCCTTTTAGTAAGGACCTGCCTTTTACTAGAGACTGAGCACTCCTCATACATTGTCTCATTAAACCAGGTCTCCAAAATAGTATCCCTCCTGTTTTATGGAAGGGACAACTCAAAAATTTTGCATTGCCAGTAAGTGGTGGAGCTGGAATTTATCCGCCCCAAAGCTTCACAGACTTGCTTTACAGAAGATGGTATAATTCTATCTCACACCAGTTAGAATGGCGATCATTAAAGAGTCAGGAAACAACAGGTGCTGGAGAGCATGTGGAGAAATAGGAACACTTTTACACTGTAGGTGGGAGTGTAAACTAGTTCAATCATTGTAGAAGACAGGGTGGCGATTCCTCAATGATCTAGAACTAGAAATGCCATTTGATCCAGCGATCCCGTTACTGGGTATATATCCAAAGGATTATAAATCCTGCTACTATAAAGACACATGCACACATATGTTTATTGCAGCACTATTCACATTAGCAACAACTTGGAACCAACTCAAATCTGTATCGATGATAGACTGGATTAAGAAAATGTGGCACATACAAGCCATGGAGAACTATGCAGCCATAAAAAAGGATGAGTTCATATCCTTTGTAGCGACATGGATGTAACTGGAAACCATCATTCTGAGCAAACTACCGCAAGGACAGAAAACCAAACACCGCATGTTCTCACTTATAGGTGGGAATTGAACAATGAGAACACTTGGACACAAGGCGGGGAACATCACACACGGGGGCCTGTCCTAGCATGGAAGCTAGGGGAGGGATAGCATTAGGAGAAATACCTAATGTAAATGACGAGTTAATGGGTGCAGCAAACCAACATGGCACATGTAGACATACGTAACAAACCTGCACATTGTGCACATGTACCCTAGAACTTAAAGTATAATAAAAAAAAGAAGATAGCATAATTCAAAGTACTTTTAAAAGGACATAGCACTATACTGAGGTTAGGAAAAACAGTATTCCCAAACTGGGATCCTTCTGTGCACTTTGTAACCCTTGTTTACCCTGGCAGTTGCAATACTACCAATTTGACCATTAAGAACATTCGGTATGTTTAAACTATAGTGGGAAAGCCAAGATATGAAGCCATCACCCATGGGAATTTTGAGGCTAGAGTAATTAGAAGCTAATTTAAGATCTCCATTCAACTCTAGGACAGTCAGGGTAACTGCCAGAGAAGCTGCATGCTGAGTAAATCCTGATCCCAAAGTGGAATTTTGCCCTAGTATAATGGGTTCATATTTGATTGGCTGCACTTAGCTATAAATCCTGAGGAGGAGGAAGAGGAGGAAGAGGAGGAGGAGGAGGAGGAAGAGGGGAAGGGGAAGAGGAAGAAGATGAAGAAAGAAGAAGGAGAAGGAGGACAAGGGGGAGAAACGACATCAGAAAGTAATTGGGCTAGAAGAACTTTAATTTGGAAGCAAAACACAGAATCCAGGTGAGTGGGCTTACTGGGAAAGGCTCATGCCACGTTGCTCCCACAATGGAGGGCCTTATGATGGCGATGGTTAGGTTTCTGCTC
This sequence comes from Homo sapiens, assembly GCF_000001405.40. Classification (NCBI taxonomy): domain Eukaryota; kingdom Metazoa; phylum Chordata; class Mammalia; order Primates; family Hominidae; genus Homo; species Homo sapiens. The sequence continues at coordinate 15,575,720 of NC_000022.11, read as the reverse complement.
TCCTGCTGCACCACCATTTCTCCCAAGGCCTTGATGTAGGTGCAAGAATTGGGCGGATCTCTGATCAGCTTGGGTGTGATCTCGTCAATAACAGCGTCGTCTAACCACGTAAAAAGTAGTCAGAGTGAAAAGAATTCTAGCAGCATATGTTAGACAATAGACCAAAAGGAAAATGTGACACGCAAATAGTCAAACAAAACTTCCACCTTTTAGCCTTGGTTCTGGAATTTAGTCACACAATACCAAGTTTGAGGGCATACCTGTTCAAAGCATGCATGAGCTCTTTGCTCTTCACTGCTAAGCCCAATCTCATCAGCCAAATCCTATGCCCTCCCATCTAGAGAGATAGGTAGGTAGAGAGACCAATAGAATCAATAGCAATACCACTTTATTATTACTACTAGTATAGGGCTATTAGTACTACTTTATTAGTATGACTTTAGCACTACTATTTATTTATCAATTACTTTACCAATACTACTACTTTATCTGTAGTAGTACTAAACTGGAGGTTATTACATACAACCTCTTTACTTCCTCTCCAAGAAGCTCCTAAGTACATTCATTGCACACATTTTTGAGTTCCAGTCATTCTCCCAATAGTGTGCTGGAAGCTGTGTTCAGGGAGTTTGAGGCTCTCATCCAAGGTGTTTCAGTGGCAGCCCTGTTCAGTGTTGTCCCATAGAAACCTGGTGCAGTGATCCTGAAGAGTTTAGCTTTACATTTAAAAAATTTCATTCAATGCAAATCAAACCAAAGTGACTACTTTTGGCAGACTGACAATCTCTTCTAGCAAATCTATGTAACGCATTTTGAAGGTCTGTTTAGAGTCTGTGCTAATAACTTGCTAATTATTTCCAGAGATTTCCAATGAATTCGAAGTCTGTCAAGTGGGGTGATTATAGTACTCTGAAATTGCTTCAAAATCATGAATATTGAATTCTCCTACTTATAATATGACATGTATCATGAATAACTGAGTTACCATAGCATCAGCCTAATCTTTCTTAAAAATATGTCAGAACTGGCCTGGCGGAGTGGCTCACACTTGTAATCCCAGCACTTTGGGAGGCCGAGGCGAGCGGATATTGAGGTCAGGAAATCGAGACCATCCTGGCCAACATGGTGAAACCCCGTCTCTACTAAAAATACAAAAATGAGCTGGGCATGGTGGCACATGCCTGTAATCCCAGCTACTTGAGAGGCTGAGGCAGGAGAATCGCTTGAACCCAGGAGTCGGAGGTTGTAATCAGCCAAGATCGCACCACTGCACACCAGCCTGGTGACAGAGTGAGACTCCATCTCAAAAAAAAAAAAAAAAAGAACCATTTGATAAACCCAAAGTCTATCTACACATCTCTAAGAGAGCAAAAAATTATTGTCAATTAAATATGTAACATTTATTCTAGCTGAGAGATCTATGTGCTTAAATTATTGATACAGCGTTTTAAAAATTAAGCTGCCATTCTAACTGGTGTGAGATGGTATCTCACTGTGGTTTTGATTTGCATTTCTCTGATGGCCAGTGATGGTGAGCATTTTTTCGTGTGTCTGTTGACTGCATAAATGTCTTCTTTTGAGAAGTGTCTGTTCATGTCCTTTGCCCACTTTTTGATGGGGTTGTTTTGTTTTTTCTTGTAAATCTGTTTAAGTTCTTTGTAGATTCTGGATATTAGCCCTTTGTCAGATGGATAGATTGCAAAAATGTTCTCCCATTCTGTAGGTTGCCTGTTCACTCTGATGGTAGTTTCTTTTGCTGCACAGAAGCTCTTTAGTTTAATTAGATCCCATTTGTCTGTTTTGGCTTTTGTTGCCATTGCTTGACATAGGAACGCTTTTACACTGTTGGTGGGAGTGTAAACTAGTTCAACCGTTGTGGAAGACAGTGTGGCGATTCCTCAAGGATCTAGAACGAGAAATACCATTTGACCCAGATTCCATTACTGGGTATATACCCAAAGGATTATAAATCATGCTACTATAAAGACACATGCACACGTATGTTTATTGCGGCACTATTCACAATAGCAAAAACTTGGAACCAACCCAAATGTCCATCAACCATAGACTGGATTAAGAAAATATGACACATGAGACCAGCGGCGGCGGCCGCAGCGGTACTGGAGGCGCAGAGGGCGGTGCAGGCGGAGCCTGGCGAGCACCTGAGCTAGCAGAGACCTGGCGGCCTTTCGGGAGGCGGCGGCGGCGGCACCCCAGGCCCAGCCGGCACGGGAGGAGTTCCAGGGCGATGGGGCCTTGGTCCGGGCTGATGCTTTGACAGCTGAAAAGAGCGCGGAGCCAGCGCCTGGTCGGGAGGGAGGGGAGCGCGGCGAGGAGAGCGCCAGCTAGCGAGAGAGCGAGCGAGCGCCTGGGAGGGGGCCGGGAGCCAGGGGCAGCTCGGGAGAGCCGGAGCTGTGGCGGCTGTGGCGAGGCTTGGAGCCCTCTTCCCTGCAAACCATGTTTGCCAAAGACAAAGGCTCGTTGGTGCCCTCGGACGGGCAGGCTGGGGAAAAGTTAGCTTTATACGTCTACGAATATTTACTGCAGGTAGGAGCACAGAAATCTGCACAGACCTTCTTATCGGAGATTCTCTGGGAAAAAAAAAAAAAAAAAACATCACGTTGGGAGAACAGCCTCGGTTTTTGCACTCGTGGTGGTGTGTATTTTGGGACCTTTACTGTGCAGCTCCTAAAAGGAGAGACACTTGTGAACATTCAAGTGAAGCAAAAGCCTTTCCTGATTCTAGTGCAGCAGCTGCCCGGAGCCCCGTGCTTGGCAACATTCCCCCCAACGATGGGATGCCGGGAGGCCGAGTCTCGCCAGGTTTCTTTCAGTGTCCTCCGGGGTCACTGCCCTCACTGCATGCACAGCCTCCACCTCACAATCCTAGCAGCATGATGGGACCCCACAGTCAGCCTTTTATGTCACCGCAATACGCAGGCGGCCCCAGGCCCCCCGATCAGAATGGGAAACCAGCCTCCTCCGGAGGAGTTCCTGGGAAACAGCCATTGCTGCCCAATTCCATGGATCCCACACGACAACAAGGCCACCCCCACATAGAAGGATCAATGCAGAGAATGAACCCTCCCTGAGGCATGGTGCCCATGAGTCCCAGCCCACAGAATTACGGCAGTGGCATGAGACCACCACCCAATTCCCTTGGCCCTGCCATGCCCGGGATTAACATGGGCCCGGGAGCCGGCAGACCCTAGCCCAATTCTAACAGTGCTAACTCAATTCCATACTCCTCCTCATCACCTGGTACCTATGTGGGACCCCCTGGTGGTGGTGGCCCTCCAGGAACACCCACTATGCCCAGTCCCTCAGATTCAACAAATTCCAGCGACAACATCTACACATTGATTAATCTGGTGCCACCTGGAGGCAGCCGGTCCAACTTCCCGATGGGTCCCAGCTTGGACGGTCCGATGGGCAGCATGGGTGGCATGGAGCCACACCACATGAACGGATTGTTAGGGTCAGGCAACATAAATGACTTCCAAAAAATTCTCCTAACAACGTGAATAGTATTAGCAATCTTCCAGGCACCCCTCGAGATGACGGCGAGCTAGGAGGAAACTTCCTCCACTCCTTTCAGAATGACAATTACTCTCCAAGCATGACGATGAGTGTGTGATCCCCCCTTCTCCAAGATGCTGAGAGAGCTGGCATTGCAGGCAGGAAGATGCCAGAAATTATGCAAGAAGTGAGGTGTCATTACCCAGGAGCTGGTGGAGAGGGCATCTCCTGCTCCCCTCAACCCCCTCCCACCCCATCCACGCCCACCTTTTCCAATTTTAGTTTCATGCAGTAAAAAGGCCGAACTTTTTATTCCATAAAACAAAAGAAAGAAAGAAACAAAGAAACAAAGAAAGAAAGAAAGAAAACGTGGCACATGTACACCATGGAATACTATGCAGCCACAAAAAGGGATGAGTTCATGTCCTTTGCGGGAACATGGATGAAGCTGGAAACCATCATTCTGAGCAAGCTATCATAAGGACAGAAAACCAAACACCGCATGTTCTCACTCATAGGTGGGAATTGAACAATGAAAACACTTGGACAGGGCGGGGAACATCACACACAGGGGCCTGTCCTAGCGTGGAGGCTAGGGGAGGGATAGCATTAGGAGAAGTACCTAATGTAAATGACGAGTTAATGGGTGCAGCAAACCAACATGGCACATGTATACCTATGTAACAAACCTGCACGTTGTGCACATGTGCCCTAGAACTTAAAGTACAATAATAAAAAATTTAAGCTGCCAGAATATGCTAGTGTGATTTTTCTGATCAATGTGGTACATTTATTTCTATTTTATACAACAGAACATAACAATACTACTTTGATTGTAGAAAATCTTCACTGTTATCACCTTGCTGACATGACACATTTTTGAACAACTAAGATGTGCAGAAGGTTAAGACTTATTCAGAATCACAACTCTCAGTATTAATGCCTCATTTCATCCTGGGGTAGAACATGGGCATTGACTATAATGTTTCCATTTTTCTTGCTTTGCTTCTATGAGTGCTGAGTGTGTTCTGGATACTCAAATGACTTTTCATTTAAATTGAATGGAGAAAGATTGAGGGGTTCTAGAATTAAAAACAACTTAAACTACATAGAAATATCAAGGATATTTTAATTATATGGTCACCTGGAGGCTGGGAAAAAGTGTAGGATGATGCAGACACCTCTCCATCTTAACAATAAGCCTACCTTATTTCATTTGTGGGTCAACAGTGGATTGACTGACCTGAGATCATTTTCCCTCAACCGCAAAAATATACAGTTTATGAAAACCAGGTCTTGAGAAAATAGAGCTTAATATCAATAAGGCTGTAAAGAAAAAATTCCTAGAAAACATCAGATCCGAACAATGTGCTGGGATTGTATGTCACATGGCTAGTACCAGTTGCTGTCGTTAATGTTGGAGTACATGGAAAGCATAATACTTGGGGGGATGGGGCCTTATAAAGTTTAGTAGCTTTGCTTGTCTTGGAAAATGTTGTTTTTGGTTGTTGTTGTTTTGGTTTGGTTTGGTTTATTTGTTTGTTTTTTTTTTTTTTTTTTTTGGAGATGGAGTCTTGCTCTTGTCCCCCCCAGGCTGGAGGGCAATGGTGCAGTCTGGGCTCACTGCAATTTCTGCCTCCCAGGTTCAAGCAATTCTTCTGCCTCAGCCTTCTGAGTAGCTGGGATTATAGGTGCCTGCCACCACGCCTGGCTAATTTTTGAACTTTTAGTAGACACGGGGTTTCACCATGTTGGCCAGGCTAGTCTCGAACTACTGACCGCAGGTGATCCACCTGCCTCGGCCTCCCAAAGTGCTGGGATTTCAGGCATGAGAAAATGTTGGTAACACACATGCAAGAAATTTTAATATTCTATAGATGGCTTGCCTCTGCTGTTGTTATTTACACCTGTATTCCACTGTTTAATCTTCTCATTCCAATTTTACTTGTGAAAATAGCAATAATTATATTCATTCTAAATTCTCAGGCTATTATGAGGGTAAACAAAAATTTTCACAACTGCATTTAAGATCTTTGATAAAACAAAATGAGCCAAAAATCTAAGGCATTCCTATTTTTAAAGAAAACAAGGGAGCATCATACATCTGTGTAGGTAATAGTTGGTTTTAAAATGTCGTTTCTGGCCAGGTGTGGTGACTCTAACCTATAATCCCAGCACATTGAGAGGCCAAGGAAGGAGGCTCGCTTGAGTCCAGGAGTTTGAGACCAGCCTGGGCAACATAATAAGACCCTGTCTCTACAAAAAGAGTTTTTAAAAATTAGCTGGGCATGGTGGCGTGCACCTACTCAGGAGGCTGAGGCAGGAGGATTGCTTGAGCCTGGGAGTTGAAGGCTGCAGTGAGCTGTGATTCTGCCACCCTACTCCAGCCCGGGTGAAAGAGTGAGACCCTGTCTCAAAATGAAGGAATGAATGAATAAAACAAATAAAAATAAATTATCGTTTATAATACAGCCAAAGAGACCATCTGCTAGCTCATTCGGCCACTTCCTAGGATCAGAAAGGAGATTAGTGTAAACATGCATATGCACTGATTGGGCAAAGCCCTTCTCAGGACTTTCACTCAATTCAGGGTTGCTGCTGTTGTTTGTTCTCAATATGTTTTTAAACAGTAAATAAGTTAGCATGGATAAAAACCACTATATTAACCAAAATACATGTCTGAAATTAATCTAAATGTTCTTCAGTATACTCAAGAAGATGCTTTGACCCATGGGTCTCAAATACTAAACTCGAATTGCTTCAGAAGAAGCATAAAGTCATTAAAAATTTCAGAAAGCAATATGTGTATGTCTATGTGTGTACATGCATAGACACATACATAATTTCTTCTAAAGATTACTATCAATTTTGGTTTCAAACTTATTGAATCAACATGATGATATCATTAATAGTTACATTATTTATGTATTTACAGAATGAAATGCCAAGAGGCATATGTATTTTCCCTCCCTCACCTTCCAATTTTCTTATGCAACAAGTTGGCAAGCCTAGTGGTTTATGAGGAAATCTGTTAGAGAGTAAGTAGTGGACACACTGTCTTATGATAACATTTGCTCTTTCTTTCTCCAGTCTAAATTATATAGTTCACTTGATTGTTGTAGTTACGAAGTTGTATTTGTTCACGTGTCTGTCTCCCCATTGGACAGTGAGTCCAGGAGAGCAGGGATTATGATTTTTATCTCTGTATCTAATCACTTTTCTGCCCCCAGGAGCCAGCTACCTTATTCAGTAAATGGATGCTCTTCCACATGGTAATCTTGATTGGTCAATTTCTGTACTATATAAGGTTTTGGGAAGCAGAGATGGACAATGATAAGAGAGAGTAGACGAAAGGAAGATGAGGTTATAGGGAGAATGTGGGAAAGGAAAGAAGGGGATATCTTCATAGAGCAGGAAGCAAAATTGGAAGTCAAAGTGTCCAGTGGCAGTGGTGAAAAGTGTTGACCAACCTCGATTTGGTGAAGGTGGCGTCACATCAATTTAAACTTTTCATGGGGAAGCAGGGTATTTCTCAACCTAATGCTTATGGAGAATTGGCCTCTGTATTTCCCTCCAGACTTTCACGGACTACTCAGCCTAGCCCAAACATGAGCCAGATGCCGAATGGACTGCCAATGTGAAAATTATTCGATTTGATTAAGAAACAATTTAATCTTATTCTGGTTTGTATTTAAAGCCTGCTAATATCAAAGTACACAGAATTTTCATTTTTGTATCAGCAACTTAGATGCCATTTAGAAGCTGTGCCACCCTGAAATTAAAAGCACAAGTGCTAGAGTCAGCTTTCACCATTCCCCTAGAAGAGATCAGCTTTTTTGGTGTTAACAATGTGTTCTATAGCAGGAAGGCAAGACTACTGTCCAAGATCTGACCTCCTTTCCTATCTCCTGGAGGGCTGTGATGAGGGCCACTGCTGCTGGCTGTGAGGGTCTCCATTTCCCTGCCCCTCAACCCTGTACCCTCAGTGCACACACCACCTTTCCTTTTTTACATTGCAGACTAGCTGTGTCTTCTGGTGGCCACATAGCTTCAGAAGTGTGGTTTTTAGTAGGTACAGATCTACTAGGACCTTTCATTCAGTTAAAGCTTCTAGGAACTGAAAGACAACAGGAGGCGAGGAGAGCAGGAGAAAGAGGAAGCATGGAGTATTAGAAGATAAACGATCCTCATTTCAAATGAAGACTGCTTAATGAAAAATCTCCTTAAGGCACTATTTCCCAAACTTGCCTGTTCATCAGTGTGAATTACACAGGACCCCTGGGAAAAATCCAGACTCCTGGCTGCCATTTTAGAACCACTAAATAGATCTGCAGAGGTAAGAGTCTGGATAATGTGTATTTTCAACATGCCCTGGAAATTCCAACAGTCAGGCAAATTAGGGAATCACTAATTTAGAAGAAGTCCACTCCATCAACTTAAGTTGTTAAGATTTGAATAGATCAGGATTAGCTCTCAAAAATGCATTGCTTCTTGAAGTAAACATTTCAACAGAATTAAATTTTGAAAGAATTAAATCCCCTAATGCTATCCCTTCCCTAGCTCCCCACAGGCCCCAATGTGTGATGTTCCCCTCCATGTGTCCATGTGTTTTCATTGTTCAACTCCCACTTATGAGTGAGAACATGTGGTGTTTGGTTTTCTGTTCCTGTGTTAGTTTGCTGAGGATGATGGCTTCCAGCTTCATCCGTGTCCCTGCAAAGGACATGAACTCATCCTTTTTTATGGCTGAGAGTATTCCATGGAGTATATGTGCCACTTTTTTTATCCAGTCTATCAGTGACGGGCATTTGGGTTGGTTCCAAGTCTTTGGTATTGGGAACGGTGCTGCAATAAACATGTGTGTGCATGTCTTTATAGTACAGTGATTTATAATCTTTGGGCATATACCCAGAAATGGGATTGTGAGGTCAATTGGTATTTCTGGTTCTAGATCCTGGAGGAATAGCCACACTGTCTTCCCCAATGGTTGTACTAATTTACACTCCCACCAACAGTGTAAAAGCGTTCCTCTTTTTCCACATCATCTCCAGCACCTAATGTAGATGAGAGGTTGATGGGTGCAGCAAACTACCATGTCATGTGTATACCTATGTAACAAACCTGCACGTTCTCCACATGTATCCCAGAACTTAAAGTATAATAATAATCACAATTAAAAAGATTGAAAATTTAAAATTTTAATTTAAATTGGGCTTTAGTTACTTGCAAAATACATTGTATTTCCAAACAATGTGCAAAACAAAGAGTTATTGTATGCATTATCAATAAAGTTATATCACTTCTCATAAAAATAACATTAAAGAAAAATAATTAAATCCATTTTAGGACAATTAAAAAATGTATCTGTCAATTTTAACTGAAAATTCTCTTACATTTATACATCCCACATTCTAATAAGGACTAATTGACACTTGATTATGAACAGTAAAGAAATATGTGTTTGCATGTCTGTATACTTATAGATCTGTTCCAATGGAAATATCTATTTGGAGTCAGAAAATCTGTTTGGTCCCAGTTCTCACTAAAAACATGATCTCATTAAAAATACTTAAACACAATAAACTTTACTTTCTCATTTATTAAAAAAAATTAAATCCCTGGCACTAGAAATGTAAAACATGGCAAGTATGCATGTTCTAATCTGGAGTTAATTTGGTATGTGTAATCCCATAAGCAAAGCAGTAGCCATGTCCTATTGTTTTTTTTTCTTTCCCAATACACATGCTAATCTACTGCCTCCCCCAGCCCCTGGCCATATTAATATTACTGAAGCCCACTTTCATCAGTGTCTTTCCACGATGAAAACAAATGAGCAAGCAACCAAAAACTACACAAAACCACATGCACACACATGGCCCTCCTTCAATGGATCTCCACTGCCTAGAGAATTAAATCCAATTCCTCTGCATGGTATGCAAAATCTCCACAGTATGGCCCAACCTGCCTCTCCAGCTTGATCTCTAACTGCTTCCCTACACATAACACATGTGCTGCCAAGAGGGACTTCTGGCTGTGTCCCAAACACGCCTGGGTTTCCCAGCTCCAGTTGCCCTGCCTGGTGTCTGTGCACATCTCACCTATCCACACTCCTCCCACTCTTCCAAGTCACCTCATATGCCTCTCTCCACTCCACCAGACTTAATATGTACTGTTTCCCCACCACCCCACGTGTATAATTCTTCCCTGTTCTATTTGTCTGGGACGTGAGCTCCTTGGGAACAGTCTATATCTTAAGAAAGCACCTTTTAATCTCTAACACTGCCGAGTATGTGAGTAGACTGGAAAGACCATGAGCTTCAGAATCAAGTGGCCATGGATACCTTTCTTGAAAGGTAAAGAAAGTCTTGAGAGACTTTCAAGGAGTTACTTAGCCTTCCTGAGCTTTTTGCTCCTTAATTAGTATAGCAGTGATAATAAATCAACCCTACAATATTAAGTTATGGAAATAAATGTCTGTGAAAGCATCTCGCTCACAGTGATTGCTCAATAATGACTCATCTCCTCCCTTCCCTTCTTAATTCAGATTTATTAACATATGTTCAATAAAGCAATAGGTATTTGTGATTCCATTTTTCTAGTTCCTAATTCTAGTTATTTCAGGTTTTTATACAGGTGCAGAAGCCCTTTTCTTCTACACTGGTTCCCCTAAGAGGAGTTACCTTGACCTAAAACATAAGAAAAGCACCAACCATAAAACTCTGCCTTTCTTAGTCAGTTATGTGCATTTTAAAAAATAAACTTTCTACTTAAGCTGTTATTCTGGAAAACCAGAATTTCACTGGCAATCCCTGATCCATTTATGCCACTAAATTTCCAAGGTAAATACAGCAAATAGGCAGAAGGTGGTAATATGAAGATAGAGATGAGTCAGGATGGGAACTGGTGGCTGGGATGAGGGCCAGAAGAAAACTACAGGTATAAGAGCCAGGAAAATTAGTTGCTTAACACTGATTAATGGCCATGCTTGTCCTACTCATTACAAACATTAACTTCTCATTTAAGTTATTTTAAAATATTTTTATGCTGACATGCTAAAGTTTTTGTGCTAACAAAATCAAATTTCATCTTTCTGGAATATTTCAGAGCCAAGGTAATCTAAAATTTTTAGATAGGGGCTAAAGAAAGGGAGCTCAGGCCCGACAGTCTCAGGATATAGGCCGAATAGAAAATGGGGGGAGCTGAACGAAGAGAGACGTTAGGCTTGCAAAGGTAGGGACCAGGATGTAAGCATGAGGTTCACGTTCACAGTCCCATTCACTTTATTAACAGCACTGAGCAGTATCACTGCTGCCCAAGCCATCAGAAAGGTCCTGGCCAAAAATGCAAATCCTTCTTTATCTTCCAGAACTGGAATTCCCATTCAACAGATTTTCTGGAAAAATAAAGTTTCCTTTTACAGTGTCATGGCTATTTTTTTGAGATCACAATGCCCAGAGTACAGCTTCTAGATTATCTTGATGTCTAACTCCTGATTCCTTAAGAACAGCTGAAATACTAAGAGCAAATGACAGCTGCTAGACCCCTTGAAGTTACTGTTTAAAAAAAAAAACTGTTCCCTAGCTATTTCTCTGTTTCACTGAAAGAAAAACAAACTCCCAGGGGAAACAGAAACCTAAAAACCTTTGAAAATAATTCTTTTATAACACAGGCCAATTACTAAATAGAGAACTCATCAAAAGTATTTTCTTAAAGCAAAAAACTAAACCTGCATTTAGGTAAATTAATGTTTATTCATAAGGATTTTTAATGTTATTTGTTATTCTAAAACTTGCAAAAATTCCATCTGTTATAGGAGTTATTGAAATAGTCATAGATGGGTGTATGTGCGGGGGAGAAGATGGCGGCGGCGGGGGAGGCAGCGTGAGCAGCCGGAGGAGCGCCGAGTCCCATTGAAACCGGCAGCCATGGCCCTCCACAGCCCGCAGTATATTTTTGGAGATTTTAGCCCTGATGAATTCAATCAGTTCTTTGTGACTCCTCGATCTTCAGTTGAGCTTCCTCCATGCAGTGGAACAGTTCTGTGTGGCACACAAGCTGGGGATAAACTACCTGATGGACAAGAATATCGGAGAATTGAGTTTGGTGTCAATGAAGTCATTGAACCCAGTGACACTTTGCTGAGAACCCCCAGCTACAGTATTTCAAGCACACTGAACCCTCAGGCCCCCGAATTTATTCTCGGTTGTACAGCTTCCAAAACAACCCCTGATGGTATCACTAAAGAAGCAAGCTATGGCTCCATCGACCAGTACCCAGGCTGTGCCCTCGCTTTGGATGGAAGTTCTAGTGTGGAGGCGGAAGTTTTGGAAAATGATGGTGTCTCAGGTGGTCTTGGACAAAGGGAGCGTAAAAAGAAGAAAAAGCAGCCACCTGGATATTACAGCTGTTTGAAAGATGGTGGCGATGATAGTATTTCCACAGAAGCCCTGGTCAATGGCCATGCCAACTCAGCAGTCCCGAACAGTGTCAGTGCAGAGGATGCAGAATTTATGGGTGACATGCCCCCGTCAGTTACGCCCAGGACTTTTGACAGCCCCCAGAACTCCACGGACTCTGTCAGTGACATTGTGCCTGACAGTCCTTTCCCCGGAGCACTCGGCAGTGACACCGGGACTGCAGGGCAGCAGGAGGGGGGTCCCGGGGTTGATTTTGGTCAGTCCTGCTTCCCTGCAGGGGCTGGCAGAGACACCCTGTCAAGGACAGCTGGGGCTCAGCCCTGCGTTGGTACCGATACTACTGAAAACCTTGGAGTTGCTAATGGACAAATACTCGAATCCTCGGGTGAGGGCACAGCTACCAACGGGGTGGAGTTGCACACCATGGAAAGCATAGACTTGGACCCAGCCAAACCCGAGAGTCCATCACCTCCTGCTGACGGCACGGGCTCTGCATCAGGCACCCTTCCTGTCAGCCAGCCCAGGTCCTGGACCAGTCTCTTTCACGATTCTAAGCCCTCTTCCTCCTGGCCGGTGGCCTATGTGGAAGCTAAGTATTCCCCTCCCGCTATATCTCCCCTGGTTTCTGAAAAGCAGGTTGAAGTCAAAGAAGGGCTTGTTCCAGTTTCAGGGGATCCTGTAGCCAGGCATTGGTTGCTTTCCCGACAATGTACCACCTGATGAAGTTCATTCCTCTGTATTCCAAAGTGCAAAGGCCCTGTACGTCAACACCCAAGGTAGACAGCTTTGTTTGGCTAATGAATGAATTTACTAATATGCCAGTACCTCCAAAACCCGGACAAGCTCTTGGAGATAAAATCGTGAGGGATATTCGCCCTGGAGCTGCCTTTGAGCCCACGTATATTTAGACTCCTGACAGTTAACAAGTCAAGCCTGTCTGAAAAGGATCGACAAGAAGATGCTGAGGAATACTTAGGCTTCATTCTAAATGGACTTCATGAGGAAATGTTGAACCTAAAGAAGCTTCTCTCACCAAATAATGAAAAACGTGCGATTTCCAATGGCCCCAAAAACCAGTCAATGAAGAAGAGCAAGAAAAACAAGGTGAAGGAAGCGAGGATGAATGGGAACAAGTGGGCCCCCGGAACAAGACTTCCATCACCCGCCAGGCGGATTTTGTTCAGACTCCAATCACCACATTTTTGGTGGCCACATCAGGTCTGTGGTTTACCAGCAGAGTGCAAAAGAATCTGCCACTTTGCAGCCATTTTTCACGTTGCAGTTGGATATCCAGTCTGACAAAATACGCACAGTCCAGGATGCACTGGAGAGCTTGGTGGCAAGAGAATCTGTCCAAGGTTATACCACAAAAACCGAACAAGAAGTTGAGAAAAGTCGAAGAGTGACTCTGGAAAAACTCCCTCCTGTCCTCGTGCTGCACCTGAAACGATTCGTTTATGAGAAAACTGGTGGTGCCAGAAGCTTATTGAATATCCTGTGGACTTGGAAATTAGTAAAGAACTGCTTTCTCCAGGGGTTAAAAATAAGAATTTTAAATGCCACAGAACCTATCGGCTCTTTGCAGTGGTCTACCATCACGGCAACAGTGCGACGGGTGGCCATTACACTAGAGACGTCTTCCAGATCGGTCTGAATGGCTGGCTGCGCATCGATGACCAGACAGTCAAGGTGATCAACCAGTACCAGGTGGTGAAACCAACTGCTGAACGCACAGCCCATCTCCTGTATTACTGCCGAGTGGACCTGCTGTAAACCCTGTGTGCGCTGTGTGTGAGCCCAGTGTCCGCTTTGTAGGACACCACCTCACACTCACTTTCCGCCTCTCTTTATTGGCTCTTTAGAGAGAAACTCTTTCTCCCTTTGCAAAAATGGGCTAGAATGAAAAGGAGATGCCTTGGGGTTCGTGCACAACATAGCTTCTGTTGACTCTAACTTTGAAATCAAAATCATTTGGTTGAAACAGACTGTCGCTTGATTTTAAAAAACACACAAAAACCCATATTTCTGAAATAATGCTGATTCCTGAGATAAGAAAGTGGATTTGATCCCCAGTCTCATTGCTTAGTAGAATAAATCCTGCACCAGCAACACTTGTAAATTTGTGAAAATGAATTTTATCTTCCTTAAAAAAGAAATGTTTTAATCCATCACATTTTTCTTCCCTACCCTTTAGTTTTTGATAAATGATAAAAATGAGCCAGTTATCAAAGAAGAACTAGTTCTTACTTCAAAAGAAAAATAAACATAAAAAATAAGTTGCTGGTTCCTAACAGGAAAAAAATTAGTAATTGTGCTGAGGGAAACTGCTTACATAGACATTGCAGATCAAATATTTGGAGTTAAAATGTTAGTCTACATAGATGGATGATTGTAACTTTACTGCCATTAAAAAGATTTCAGATTGCATTCATGCTTCTGTGTACACATAATGAAAAATGGACAAATAATGAAGATCTCTCCTTCAGTCTGCTCTGTTTAATTCTGCTGTCTGCTCTTCTCTAATGCTGCATCCCTAATTGTACACAGTTTAGTGATATCTAGGAGTATAAAGTTGTCACCCATCGATAAAAATCACAAAGTTGGTTTAAAAAAAAAGAAATAGTCATAGATGATGGTATAGGTGGAGAGGGGTTGCTGGGCTTTATGTAAAGTGCTATTCAAAGCTTCACATATAGGTTTCATTCAAACTTTAAGAAGAAAAAAATGAACAATCAGAAATGGGTAAGATGTGGGGATATAAATAGATATTTTGTACATAAGACTTCTGCATCCCCAAATATTAGCTTGTTGTGGAATTCTGTCATCTATTCTTGTTTCAGTCAAAACAAGCAAAAAAAAAAAAAAACAGTCAGAACAGTATGAACAACAATCATCTAGTTCCACCAAAAACTTTTCACTCAGCAAGCAAGCATTGAGTCCCTAGCTGAAGATGCAAAGAGGAGCAAGAAATATTCTCTTCCATTGAGACGGTCATTGTCTAAAGGAAAATGTAGATAAGCAACCAGACATTCAGAATGACCTGTGTTACAAGCAATAATAAAGCTGAGCGCTGGGTACTATGGGGCACTTGGGAAGGCTGCCTAAGCCAGAGAGCTTCACAGGGAGCCTTGATGTCTGAGTAAGAATTAACCAGGTGAAGCAGAAGGGGAAATAGGCTCTAGGAACAGAGAGCTTTGAGCGCAAAGGCAGGCAGAGTGTGAGGAGAGGAGGCCTTACTTCCTTGTGACTGCAGCATGAAGGTAAGGGGAGGGCTGAGAGAAATGAGGCTCCACAGGTGCTCCTGGATGTCCTAATTAATTTTGAATTAACAAATCATAAGTATGACTTTTTCTCTGTTTTTTTTTAAAAAAACTTTGTTCCTTAATTGCATGCAAAATGTATCTGTTGAGATAAAATAATTTCATACCTATTTCTAATTAGTTGCTCAAATAATTGTTATCCTTGGAGAGCAGTAAATGACAGATGAACATTAAAAATTTTGTAAAAATGTCAATTGCAGTTTGTTCATATATCACGTAGCAATTACCAGCCTTGTCTGGCTGACATATACCTGAGGGAGTGTGGAAAGTGCCGAATGCCTGAAGATAAATCAACTCTTCCTCTGGGAGGTGAGTTTATTCTTCTTTGAAACCCATGGGTATTTAGTGTCTGGAGATGGTGGTATGGAGTACATAGAGAAGCCCTTCATTAGGAGTGAACTCTTACTTATTTTCTCTGATGAACTCTCAGACTATTTTGCTGCCTCAAATTGCACTACGACCTGTCAGGCGTTAGAGAGATCAGCAGTGGAGACAGTCCCAGGAAACAGTCTGGAAACAAAAGGGTCTGCCCCTCTCCTGGGTACATCAAATATGGAAGCATCACATTTGCCAAGAGACAACACCATAAGAGGATAACTGACAGCAGTCAATTCTATCCTGAAAATGCTCTGAGGCTTTAAGCATAGTTTACTGCCTTGACATTGGGCCTCAGAGTACACCTGCCTTTTCTCCCACTATCCTGATAAATTGTGCACTCTAAAATGTTTCTCTGTATCAATGTAGCAAACCTCCATTTATTAGCAACTTTAAGTAACCTCCAGGTCCTTTAGATGACTTTCATTCTTCTTTGTCCTGGACATTTTTATATGACAGACAAAAATATCTATTCTCAGAGCTGGAGGAGATAAAAATGTTTTCCCTGAAGGGAATGAACTCTTAATTAAGCTAAAAGTTTTTAAAGAGTATATATTAAATGTAAATACAGTATTATAGAAAATTATAATGTAATAAATTTACTGTGAAAGAGTCCATTTTTCTGGTATAATACTTTTTATGTAGAGTTTAAAAAAAATTGAACAAAAAGCAAAGTAAACTTAGTGAAATGGAGCAGAATAAAGAAACAGAAAACAAACCTGTCCTGAGACCCAAGCTGTGTCCTACGATGAAAGTGGTTTCTGCTGATTGGCAAGAAGAGAAGAATCCTAGACACTATTTCTCTTGCATAATAGGACAGTAAGGAAAGGGTGTCTCAGCCAAAGAAGTCAAGAGAACTTCTGCCAGATCTTGGAGCAATTCTTATTCTTCGTTAGTTCTTCTTTACTAATCATTTGATTAACTGATATTAAACACTCCCTAGCACTGCAATAAGTGTTTTATATAACTTTATTCAACCTCACAACAATCAAATGGGCCCATTTTACAAATGAAGGACCTGGGGTTCAGAGAGGCCAAGGGACTTTCTCAAAGTCACACAGCTAGTTAGTTGTGGAGCTATGCCAAACTCATGTCGGAATCAAAAATGTTTCTTCTGAAATTTTATACTATTCATTGTACTTGCTTTATCTAGTGACAATGCTAAGTTCATTAAGAAGCGAGAAACCACTTCTTTGTATAGTATTCCCAAGTACCTCATGCAATCCTATACAATTTAGCAAAATGTTTCTTTAAGAATTTTCTATCCCCCTTCTCTTTCAGCAGTATATTCCCCACCAGGGGATGAAAGAGGTAACAGGGACAAGGTAGCTAAGGCTAGCACCGTTTCAAAGCATTTTGCTGCAAAACTGTTTCTCTTCATCGTCTCATTAATAGACAGCTACAAAGAATCAAAGAGAGCAACATTCTACTCACACCTTGATCCCTTTATTTGACCAATTACTCAAGGGAATCGACGATTTTTTTTTTGGCTCCACAGGGCACGGATAAACAACTTCATCGATGTGCTTCAGGTTACCATTTGAAAAGGCAGTAGAGATATGTATAAAGGCTTCCAGCTTTGGCATCTGACTAGCCGTAAGAGCTTCTGGGTGGCAGTGATGTTAAGTTGCACAGCATGTCTACAGAAGATTAAGCAGAAGGAAATACAGTGAGATAAGTCAGCATCATGCCTTGCTATAACTGCACCTACTCCCATAACTGGCATACCTATCAGATTTTGGTGACTGCACCAAAACACCAGGAAGAAAAGGATGGGGCACGGCTGCACAGTTATGTGATACTTGGAATGTCTTATGTATTGATGATGTGTTTGTGTACATAAACCCTATTCACTGATGCACTGTATGGCATATTTAGAGGTCACTTGGCTCTAATCAACTGGAAAAAGAATCACAATCCTCTGAATTTACAAAGGTGCTTCTATAAGCAGCCATTAAAAGAACAAAAAACATGTAAATTAAGCATCTAACTGAAGAAATTGGAAAATATAAATAAACTGGAGAGAAGCAACAGTGGATTTTTAAATGAGCAATATAAGTTGTTATAAAGTTCCAGGCCAGACATGAAAATTGATGTCAAAATCTGAAATTGCAACTACTGGAATACAAAGCTATATAGACAGTATGTGATAACAATGAAATACTTCATTCTAGGAATACATGGTTTATCGAATACCAGGAAACTTATTAATTTAATTTAACTCAAAAAGAGAAAAACTATATAATAATCTGTATGTATTTTGAAAAGTTTAAGACGATGTTTAGTTTTCATTTCCAATTTCATTAAATGAATTCACTAGAATAGGAATAAAATGATTAAACAATATGTATTTAATTTGCTAGCCAATGTCATTCTTAATGGTGAAAAGCTAGGAATACTGCTTGTAAAGCCAGGGCTAGAAATAATGCCTGCAGTCACAACTACTACTTAACATTGTTCTGAGGTCCTAGCCTTGTAAGTAATTAGAAAGAAAACTAAAATTAATGAAGAAATATAGATATTAAAAAGACAGTCACAAAAATTACTATAGGATTATATAATTGCATACCTGGAAAACAGAAGCAGCTTTTTTAAAAAGCTAAAGTGTACTATAGTTCAGTAAGGTGTCCACTGATAAAAATTATATAAAAAGGCCAGGCACAGTGGCTCAAGCCTTAATCCCAGCACTTTGGGAGGCTGAGGCAGGCGGATCACGAGGTCAGGAAATCGAGATCATTCTGGCTAACAGGGTGAAACCTCGTCTCTACTAAAAATACAAAAAAATTAGTCGGGCACGGTCGGTGGCGGGTGCCTGTAGTCCCACCTACTCAGGAGGGTGAGGCAGGAAAATGGCGTGAAACCGGGAGGCGGAGCTTGCAGTGAGCCGAGATCGCGCCACTGCACTCCGGCCTGGGCAACAGAGCAAGACTCCATCTCAAAAAAAAAAAAAAAAAAAAAGAAAGAAACATTAGCTTGCCTGTATATAAACAAAAATTAGAGAATACAATGCAAGAAATGTTCAAATGTGAACATTTATATCAAATTAATCATAAATTAATATAATAACAGAAAGCAAAAATTGAATAAATGGGAAAACATATTGTTCTTGGATAGGAAGAGTCAATATTTTAAATATGCTAAATGTTTCTAAAGTATTCTATATCTATAAAGTAATTCCAACCAAACTCCCAAGATTTTTAAAAACCTGGCAAGATTATCTTAAATTTAATCAAGAAGTATATGCAATGAGAACAGTCAGGAAAACTCTATAAAAATGAGAGTGTGGGAGGTGGAGGTTGCACTGAGCCATGATTGTGCCACTGCACTCCAGCTTGGGCAACAGAGTGAGACTTCATCTCAAAAAAATTAATAAATAAAGTAAAAAATAAAAATATAAACTCCTCATGTATGACTTCTGTAGTCAGACACTAACACTGTATTTTTATTAGAAGCAGGAATTGGGGTAGGGGCATTAAATTTATATAACGCTTTTGAAACAATTCAGAAGCCTTTAATGTGGTCTCTTAACAATCAACGAGTTAGCCACATGACCTCATTTTGGTAGTATCCACAGGAGATTTGGCCTCTACTTCATTGGGCTCATTGAAGGTAATCAAATCTTTTCTAGTCATGAGAATCTTTGATCTTTAATTATTTTACTAAGTCTTGCTCTTCAAAAATAACTGTCTTATTTAGTCCCATTAACCCACCAAGACCTGCTTACACATATACATATATATATATGTAAAAGAAAAGAGTAAGGTCCCTTAAACTAAGGGGCAATCTCTGTGGAATATTTGGTGTCCCAAGGTGAAAGAGACACTGTAACATTTTACAGAGAATTTGTAGAGTGCTGAGTAAAAGCAAATAAATGAATTCTACAAATTAGCTCCAAGTTTAGAACAATTAAACACAAATAAGTACATTCTAATTTAAGCAAAAACCATTATACCCAATGTACAGATTAACAGAAATTCACAAAATGTTAAAATTTTTGCTAGTTCACCAGTAACTCCCATAAGATGTAAAGATTAGTCGGCACGTTTTTAATGCTTTAGCAAGGATCATTTCTATAACTCCATAAGGCAGCATGGTATAGTGGTATGGCCGTCAAACTTCGGCATATAGCAGGGTTGCCTAGGAAGTTGCTCAAACAAACAAACAAACATATGTCCTGACCCTGGAAATTCTCATTCAGCAGTGTCAAAGCTTGGGCATCTAGCTTTACTTTGAACACACTCTCTAGTAATTCTGATACACTCTGAATTTGAGAACCATTAGTGTATTGGAAAGAACTCAGGCCCTTTGGAGCCATGAAAGACTGGATTTGAATTCTGATTCTGCCATTTATTTGCTATGTGCCTGGGGCAAATTACTTACCTCTCTGCACCATCATGTCTAAAATGCCAATCATTTGACTAACTTATCAAGTGATCGCAGAGAAGTAGGATTAAGCACATATTATGCTGTTCTTATAGACAATTTTGCATTTAACAAAATTTTAGTTCATTTTGCATAGTAATCTATAATAAATGCTAAATGCAACACAATGTTTGATTCACCATCTTGTCATGTTTTCTTTCCACACCAAAGGTCAATTTCACAGAGTTCTTTAATAATTCTTTCTTGCAGCTGGGCAGGAAAGGAACTAGGGTGGCTAGGAAGTTGAACAACCTTAAGATTATTTCTGCTCTGCAACAGAATTGGTGGTGTCGCTACATTATTCGTGCTAGAGGATGGAAGAAGTGTTGATACTAACTCAGAAGTGACAAGCAATAGTTTCCCCTTCTTCATGATATTGTCATGGAGGAAGAAATTTCCTAGGAGAGGCAATAAACTACAATAGGGAAAGTATGGGCTTTAGAGATTAGAGACCTGCATTCCAATTTTGCTGTATAACTGGGCACAAATTACATAACCCTGGATAGAGGACAGCTTTCATGAACTAATATCTCATCTGTGATATAGGAATAGGCACACTACAGAGATTTCTGAGGATTAGAGTAATGAAGTCAAATGTTTGTCTTAGTGCCTACCACACTGTAGGTCCCTAATGATAGGAAAATTCCCTTTCTACTTCCACAGCAGTACTCCATTTCCAAAAGATGCTGGTCAGAAAGTTGTGTCGTGTGTGTGTGTATGTGTGTGTGTGTGTGTGTGTTTGTGTGTGTGTGTTGGGCTATGCCAAGGTTGCTGATTCTATTCTGTGATCCAGAGTGTATGACGAAATCATGTTGAACCTCATGGCTCTTGAATAAAATAACTACGGGAAATTTGAAGCTTTTAAGAAAAAGACGGTGCGATTGGAAGAGATTTTTAAGAACAGGAAAGAAGCTGGACATGTAAAACCATGCTGGTGATTGAATTAGTGAATGATAGTGTAAAAGAAGGTAAGAAAGAAATTGAGAAAATAAATTGCTTCTGTTTCTGGAACTGTTAGTGTATCCCCAGGACTACATTTCCTTCCCTCCCTCCCTCTCTTCCTCCCTTCCTCCCTTTCCCCCTTCCTTCCTTCCTTCCTTCCCCTGTAACTGGCCCACAGGGGAGAGGTTGAACATGCTTCAGCTGATCTGACTCCAGTAACAGGAAAACTGAAAACTAGTTACACTAGAGGCCTCTTGCTTTTTGTGAGATAATTTCTTAGGAAAAATTTTAAAAAAAAACTAATGAACACAACTGGCTTTGGAAGTTTAAATGCAAATATTTATAATTTTGGAAGTTTCCAAATGCCTTTCCAAATGTTCCCAATTGCCTTTGCCTTATATAGAGATTTAACAGAATCATTAATGTCAATCAGAAACTCATTTTTGAAAGTTGAGAAAAAGCAGCTTTTATACAGGGAAGCCTGGGGCAAGCATAAACACACTACTTTTTTTTTTCCTACAAAAGAGTCTAAAAATTATCAAGGAACTCGTAAAATAAAATTAGCACTTCTATTGTGTGCTTCTTTAATAATCAACAGTGTTGCTCGCAGTCCCAGCGCTCCCAACGAGGGTGCCTCCCGTTGACAACAACCTGAGCAGACCTGCGCCTAGGCCCTCCGCCAGGCCTGTGCTCGCCTCGCCCAGGGGGAGGAAGACTGAGCCCGGCTCAGGCGGCGCGGCGCGCGGTCCCATTTCCTTCCAGCGATCAGTCCCCTGGCTTGCCAGCGAGTCCCCTGGCTTGCCCCAGCGCCCGCCGCGGCCTCCAGCTGCCCCCGCCCTGACCACCGGCCCGGACGTGCCAGCGGCCGCCGCTGGCAGCGCCTGTGCCATGGGGCTGCCCACTCTGGAGTTCAGTGATTACTACTTGGACAGCCCGGATTTTAGGGAGCGCTTGCAGTGTCACCAGATTGAGCTGGAGCGAACCAACAAGTTCATCAAGGAGCTCATTAAGGACGGCTCTCTGCTCACTGGGGCGTTGAGGACAGGTAATGTTGATTGCCTGCCCAGTTCCCTTGCCCTTTCATCCTTTCCAAAGGAACCCTGAGTTCCTTCAGTAACACACCTCTACCCAGGTTGGAGATCTGTCTATGGCAGTGCAGAAATTTTCCCAGTCATTACAAGATTTCCAATTTGAATGTATTGGTGATGTTGAAACAGATGATGAAATTAGTATTGGTCAGTCACTAAAATAATTTGCAAGACTACTCATTGCAGTAGAAGAAAAGCGAAGACTGACCCAAAACGCTAATGATGTATTAATTGCACCACTTGAGAAACTTCAAAAAGAACAGATAGGTGCAGCAAAAGGTGGAAAGAAGTTTGACAAAGAGAGTGAAAAATATTTCTCTATCCTTGAAAAGCATTTAAATTTATCTGCAAAGAAAAAGGAGTCTCATTTGCAAGAGGCAGATACACAAATTGATTGAGCACATCAGAACTTCTATGAAGCATCATCAGAATGTCTTTAAATGGCTCACGCCTGTAATCCCAGCACTTCGGGAGGCTGAGGCGGGTGGATCACCTGAGGTCAGGAGTTCGAGACCAGCCTGACCAACATGGAGAAATCCCGTCTCTACTAAAAATACAAAATTACTGGGCCTGGTGGCACATGCCTGTAAAGCCAGCTACTCGGGAGGCTGAGGCAGGAGAATCGCTTGGATCCAGGAGGCAGAGGTTGCAGTGAGCCGAGACTGCACCATTGCACTCCAGCCTGGGCAACAAGAGCAAAACTCCGTCTCAAAATAAATAAATAAACAAATAAATAAAAATAAAAGAAAAAAGAATATGTCTTTAAAATTCAAGAGGTTCAAGAAAAACAGAAGTTTGAATTTGTTGAACTGCTTTTGTCATTTCTTCAGGATTTATTTACTTTTTTACCCCGAGGGATATGAACTTGCCCAGGAATTTGCACCAAATAAGCAACAGCTGCAGTTCGACTTGCAGAATACAAGGAATAATTTTGAAAGTACTTGACAAGAGGTAGAGGGGTTGATGCAAAGGGTGAAATCTGCAAGGCTATCTGCATGTCCAGGAGAAATGACCACTTGGTTTTACATGGATTAAACAGCCTTGTTACTAGCTCACCGGAAATGTTCAAAATCTTGTATCCGACGAAAGACAGATTCAATTGACAAACAATTCTGCTTCGACATACAAGTAGTTGAAAGCCATGGGATCATCACATTACAGGCCTTCTCAGAAGCTAATAGGAAACTCTGGCTTGAAGCCACGGATGGGAAGGAACTGATTTATACTCTGCCTGACATTATAAGCAAGAAAGAAGAAATGTATTTGAATGAAGCAGGGTTCAATTTTGTGAGAAACTGCATTCAAGCTGTGGAAACCAGTGGTATCACCATTTTAGGCCTCTACTGAATAGGAGGAGTGAACTCCAAAGTTCAAAAACTCATGAATATCATATTTTGTCCTAAATCCCCTCCTGATATTGATATTGAACTGTGGGACAATAAGACAATAATGAGTGGGCTGAAAAACTACCTCAGGTGCTTTGCAGCACCACTGATAACTTACAAGTTACACAAAGATTTGTATCATTGCTGTTAAATCTGATGACCAAAACTACAGGGTGGAGGCTGTACATGCATTGGTGTGCACATTGCCAGAGAAAAACAGAGAGATGCTGGACATCTTAATAAAACATCTGGTCAAAGTATCACTGCACAGCCAACAAAATCTCATGACTGTCTAAAATCTTGGTGTCATATTTGGCCCAACTCTAATGAGAGCACAAGAATAAACTGTGGCTGCTATGGTGAATATTAAATTTCAGAATATTGTGTAGAAATTCTGATAGAGCACAGTGAAACGATTTTTCATACTGCTCCAGACCCAAGCATTCCTCTTCCTCAGCCTCAGTCTCGATCTGGATCCCAAAGGACAGCCTCAGTCTCGATCTGGATCCCAAAGGACATGAGCAATCTGCCTCTCTACAGGCTCTAGGAAGCCCAGAGGGATGTGTACTCCATGCCTGGCTGAACTTGATAGTGATTCCTATAGCAGCAGCACAGACAGCACCCCCATGGGGAGCATCACGTCACTCTCTTCTCTTTCCTCAGAACAAAATAGCACTACAAAGTCAGCTTTCTGCCAGCCCAGGGAGAAATCTGGAGGGATTCCTTGGATTGCAACCCAATCTTCCAATGGACAGAAAAGCCTTGGTCTCTGGACAACTAATCCTGAATCAAGTTCTAGAGAAGATGCAACCAAGACAGATGCAGAATCAGATTGCCAGAGTGTTGCTTCGGTCACTAGCCCAGGGGATGTTTCCCCACCCATAGACCTAGTCAAGAAAGGGCCTTATGGGCTTTCAGGACTGAAAAGAGCTTCTGCTTCTTCTCTCAGATCCATCTCTGCAGCTGAAGGAAACATTAGCTACAGTGGATCTATTCAAAGCTTAACTTCTGTAGGTTCCAAGGAGACACCCAAAGCTTCAAACCCAGACCTGCCTCCAAAAATGTGCAGGAGGTTAAGACTAGACACCACCTCAAGCAATGGCTATCAGCGTCCTGGCTCAGTAGTGGCAGCAAAAGCTCAACTGTTTGAAAATGTTGGTTCACCTAAGCCAGTTTCTTCTGGGCACCAAGCCAAAGCCATGTACTCCTATAAAGGAGAGCACAGCGTGAGCTTTCCTTCCCACAAAGAGTGATATTTTCCAGTGTGGACCCATCAGTGGAACCAGGATGGTTAAAGGCAGCTTATGAAGGCAAAACGGGACTAGTTGCAGAAAATTATGTTGTCTTCCTCTACTACTATTTAGTGGATGGCAGTATCTTCATGGTATCCGGTAACAAATAATAAGTGCTATGATTTTATCTGACACAGATACAAGGGGATCAGCCCACTAAGTGAAAACAGTCAATTTCTATCAAGTTCTTCACCAGCAGACTATGTAGCTCCTTATTAATGGAAAAAAAGGTTTAAATGGTTGGCCATTCTTTTTTGGTTGGTTTCTTATTTTAAAATTTCTTGCTTCTGAAAAATTTATTTTTGGATAATACGTAACTCTCCAGAATGTCTCTTCCATAGCAATTGTAGAGTTTCAAATACTTTATTAAGTACTATATCCCATAAACTTGGAAACCAGAAATCTGCTGTATGGATTTTGAGATGTGTCCTTTACTGCCTGGCATTCTCTAAGGATCTCTGAAACTGCTACTTAAAAATGTTACTGAAAAGCTGGTTACCTGCCCTTTGAGTGCCACAGTCCTGACCTGCTTGTTCTTGACACCTTACATATTACTTCAGAGTTCCCCACTGTGCAGACTCTCAGGTATTAACTGTATAAAACTCTTTACATGCTATTATAATCTGCAATCTCAATCTCTTCTACTTTAAATTAATGTTTCTAGAATAGGTTAAATACACATATACACACACAACTATGCCTGAGAAAAGTTATGCTTTTACAAATAAAAAGAATAGATTAGCATTAACAAGTAGGGTGAATAACAGTAGGCAGAGTCAGAATCAGAAATAAATACCAGTGAATCAAAATAAAAGAATGAAAAATATTCTGTATTAAAAATTATCAATGTAATGTAAAAGTCTGATAAAAGATTATTCTTTTTCTTTTACCTCTGACTGTTGACCTCTGTACACTGTAATAAGGTGTTGCTGGATGGAACTTCTTGATCTAGGTCCTTGGTGACCTTAGTAGTAATAACAGCATTGCTGGCACCCTAATTACCCTCTGCTGAAACAGAAGGTAGTTTATCAATGTACCAATCCCTTAGTCTATACTTGGTTTAAACACGCTTGCCATCATCTGGTATCCTGCTAGATTAGAACCTCTTAAAAGCAAATTGGTTTTCTTTCAAAGACCAACCTGACTCCAAAGACAGATACGGAATCCTGCTTCTTCTGCTGCATAAAGAAATCTCAACCTTCATTTTACTTGAACACAGACCGAAGTGTTCCTACTTCTGCGTTGTCTATGAGCTAGTTCTATGGATGTTCCACTCAGATTTAAAGCTTTTTATTGCACAGGACGTGGATATGAAGCCTAACTCTTGTATCTGATGGCAAGGCATATGTTGTAGCCACAGTACTGGCTATGGTCCCTTTGCTGAAAGAAGCTACAGAAGCACTGATTCAAGCTGTGTTTGTGCTAGAAGTTTTAATCTTGTAGATTTGTGAGGATGGCTCTTTTTCCTTCATAATAGATTACATGTACAAGCAAGTCAGGGCCATATACTGGAGACAGGCTAAAGCTGCTTTTCCCTTCAAGAAAGTTTCCTACAGATAAGGTATTTATGAGCATTGAGAAAGTCAGGACGTGTACTCTAAATCACACAGAGTGTTAATTCCACAGGAAGGCAATGCCAGACATTGGAAGAGGATCACATTCAACTTCTAATAGTAGTTCAATAACAAAACCTTAGCTTTTCAGAAAAAATGTGAAGAAATGGAAATCTGAATCATAATATAAACTTTCTCTACAAGATACTTGGCCTGGTGCAATGTCTCATGCCTGTAATCCCAGCACTTTGGGAGGCCAAGGCTGGTGGATCATGAGGTCAGGAGTTCAAGACCAGCCCGGCCAAGATGGTGAAACCCTGTCTCTACTAAAAATAAAAAAATTAGCCGAGTGTGGTGGTGGGCACCTATAATCCCAGCTACTTGGGAAGCTGAGGCAGAAAATTGCTTGAACCTGGGAGGCAGAGGTTGCAGTGAGCTGAGAATGTACCAATGCACTCCAGTTAAAAAAAAAAAATTAACCATTTAGATCAATGCTGTCTGGTTAAATATTCTGTGATAATGGAAATATTCTATACTTGCCCTGTCCAATAAAGTAGCCACTCGCCAAGTGTGTCTATTGAGCACTTGAAATGTAGCTAGTATGACGGAAGAACTGAATTTTAAATTTCATTTAATTATAACTGATTAAAAGTTAAGTAGCTAGTGGCTACTATACTGAATACCACAGATATATACAACAAATTTTAAAAATTTTCCAAACATGGGAATGGGTCACCTAAATGATTTTAGATACCAAGCTAAATAAAAATATCTGGAGATGATACTATTTTGACTCTAATAATTTTTTTGTTGAAAGCAATATATATATTATATATACACACATATACATATAAATATATACACATACATGTATATATAATCTAGAGGTTTCTTTCCTTTCAAAAATACTTCATACCTGTAACTTAAAAAATATAATTTTATCTTTCTTGTCTTTATTTTGAATTTTCAGTCATTTCAAAGTTAATATGAGCAATAATATCATTAAAAAGTGGGCAAAGGATATGAACAGACACTTCTCAAAAGAAGTTGGCCAACAAACATATGAAAGAAAGCTCAACATCACTGATCATCAGAGAAATGCAAATCAAAACCACAATGAGATACCATCTCATGCCAGTCAGAATGGTGATTATTTAAAAGAGTCAGGATACAATAGATGCTGGTGAAGCTGTGGAGAAATAGGAATGCTTTTACACTGTTGGTGAGGATATACATTAGTTTAATCATTGTGGAAGACAGCATGGTGATTCCCCAAGTATCTAAAACCAGAAATACCATTTGACCCTGCAATCCCATTACTGGGTATATACCCAAAGGAATATAAATCATTCTACTTATTGCAGCACAATTTACAATAGCAAAGACTGGAACCAACCCAAATGCCCATCAATGACAGACTGGATAAAGAAAATATGTCACATATACACCATGGAATACTATGCAGCCATGAAAAATGAATGAGAGCATGTCCTTTGCAGGGACATGGATGAAACTGGAAGCCATCATCCTCGGCAAACTAACACAAGAACAGAAAACCAGACACTGCATGTTCTCATTCAGTGGGAGTTGAACATTGAGAACACATGGACACAGAGAGGGGAACAACATACACCACGGTCTATTGGAGGATAGGGATGAGGGGAGGGAACTTAGAGGATGGGTCAATAGGTGCAGCAAACCACTATGGCACACGTATACCTATGCAACAAACCTGCACATCCTGTACATGTATCCTTTTTTTAGAAGCAGCAATAAAAAAAATGATCACTTCATTTCAGGAGGTAGACTTTTCCTCTTAAAGCTTTTCAGATTTTTATCCCAAGGGTTTGGCTTTTTATGCATCTCAATACGTGTAATTTGCAGTTAATACATCAATGCCTTCTGCTCTTGTTACTTCTCTCCTTAAAACAGTACATCTTTTTGATTAACTAAAGTGGTGACTCTCTCTCTCATTTTTTTTTTTTTTTTGTCAGTTCCTATTGCATTTTTTCCCACTTCGCACTCTGGTATTATAACCTGACACCGAGAACGTTTGTCTCAAGAAAAAAACTGGAAAAACAATGTTTTTCTGGTATAGATTAATTCTGTACTCTTGGCTTTTCCTGATGTATCCAGATTGTTCTATGTAACCAGGAAATTTCACATGCTCTTTCTTTTTCTAAAAAGCCATCCATTCCACCTGGTGGAGGTACTACTTGTTTGTGTGTGTGTGTGTGTGTGTGTGTGTGTGTGTGTATTATTATTCTATAATATGGTTTACATATAACTTTAGACATACACTCTTCCAGCGTCTAGTTGAATTAAAGTAGTTTTTCATGGGGTTTAATTTCCAGTTTACTCAAAAGGGCATATACCAAGAGAAATGGTCATATTACAAAAGGTTTTTTTTTTCTCTCTCTCTAAGTAATCCACCTAACAAGCAGATATTTTATGTTTTAAGATAGCTTCTTGTGGTTTGGGCTGTCTTTATTCGGGTTTTGACCGCCTGAAAAAAACTAAGTCATCTCTAACACAGGTCTAAGTATTTTTTTCTCTTGACCAGGTAACTTTTGAATTTGTTTTTGAAGTCTTTCCATTATTACTCTGGTTAAATAAGTGACCATTATCTCTCAAGGATATGTAATTCTACTTTAATTAAATATTTTTAGGCTTTTTGCATCCAAACAAATGACAAACTTCCACAGAATCAAATTCAAATTTAAGTCTTTTTCACTTAAAATTGACTAAGGGATTTTATAGTTGGGCTCCTGGGAAGTCTCAAAAGATTTGCCTCCCATTAGGCTTGCTTGATCAGCTCCCAAAATCTTCTCTAGTGTCCGTGTGCTTTCTTTCAAAACAATATATAGCATTTCCCTTGCTAGTAAACCCCCAATCTTCTCTTTGTCCTTCACACATATAGAAGACCACCGTGGTTTTCAGTTTTGTTCAGAACTACAATTCTGTGATTCCCAAATAAATTGTATAATTTAGAGATCCATCTTTATTTTGACTTCAATAGTGGTGATAAATTCTGATACAATATTCAAGAATATGTTTTATAACAATACTAAGTCAATTTAGAAATGCATTTTAGTGTGATATAAAATCCTTAACTTTTCTCCTACACTGACATTATGTATGATTTTGTTATTATTTTACAAGCACTTAAAAATTCTCTATTTTACATAAGGTTTATATTAGATATAATTTTGTGAGGAAAATAAAAGTTCGGTTTTCTATTTGCATTGTGCTAATTCAGACTGCACTTGGTTCTTCATGCACACTGTATAAGCTAAAGTTTAGACAAATTATTGTAAAAACTGATACACATATAGACCATTATAGTGTTATTTTTAAAAGCACAAGAAACTACTTTAAAAGATCACAAGGAGATTACAGCAAATGAATCTTCATATTCATTACCTCAATGAAATATAATTTAACACTAGTTTCGATTTTTTTCCAAAAGACTAATTTTCAAGTGAAAGCTTTAGATCTTTGAAAGTAATAGAATTAAAGATAAAGATAGAAAAGATACATAATTCATTTCAGCAGTTTTCTGAGAAATACCATATTTTCCAAAATATATATGTTCTTATAAGAAATGGATTCTCTTTAGGCTATTAGATTATCAATCTTCTACAATAGGCCAATTTTCAAAGCACTAGGCCTATGTTCACTCAACCAGTCTCATGAAGCAAAAACTGAATTAAGATATTGCATTTATTTTAGTCCACATATTTATCAAGCAAAGAAACTATGGAACAAAGACTCTTTCTTGCTGAAGTTCTTGGGATTTCCATGGTGCTTAATGCATATTTTTTTAAATTGTGAGATCAAAGAACACAAATCTTGAGCCATTGTGTATGTTACCTGGGTAAAAAAAATTAAACTTGATCTTTTCAAATATCTAATGGAATCCCAGGCATTGTGATTTATTAAAATATGAAGTTAAATATTTAAGAGAAAATTAATCACAATGAAATGAGTTGACTTTCTAAGAAAAGCAAGTATGTAATTAAGGAATCATTAGCAGACACTCTCAAAACAATTACAACATTTAAAAGCAATCAACATTACAACTCTTAGGTTGTGTTTTAAATTCCTCATAACCTAAACATATATATTCACTAATTATTCACTTGCCAATATGAACAATGAAAGATGAGTTAGAAAAACCAGAGGCTTTAGTTCAAAAATGACAATCTTTGGTACTGCAGCAAGGAAATAACTAGCTGGTGAAATTGATGACTCCACCTGGCTTTATCTCGGTAATGTTCTGAAATACATGCAATGAACAACTTGACATTGTTTGATGTTCTTAATTCTTTACAGCCATCTCTATTGGTAGTCTTAATAGATCAGATCAATCAGAAATGATCATATTATGAAATGTATATCACTTCACATGACTTATCTGGAAAATGTGCTTGTACTTACTTGCACCATCTCAAGTTCCAAGAGCCAAAAACATACACATGCTCATGGAGGAGAATTTCCTTTCTGATTTTAGAACAGTCTGAAAGGGTGTGAAAAAATGAAAAAAGAAGGGGGAGCTTACAAATAACAAAAATGTATATCCAAATGAAAGTTAGAATGTCTATGGAACTAGTAGTAGTAACAACAGTAGACAAAAGATAGGATGTAGATGTTAAGAAGATGTCTACAAGGGAAGCACAAGACTCCAAATGCTCTTGCTACTAAAATGCAGATTCAAGGTTTACCATCTGTAATATTCTGCTGCCATGTACATCTATGGCCACTAGTACTGTCTAAAAGGAGGATATATATTAAGAAATCATCAAAAAGGACTGCATAGCAGAAACTTCTGATATCAAGGGATCAACTTAACTACAATTATATACAGGTGCCAATTTCCTCTGGAGTAAACTACCACACTGGGCCTCATGTACCAGTTAGATAATCCAAGTCAGCCTTTATTGCATAACCTATCTAAAAGATTGGACTCTACATTTTGGCTCTGCAGAACTGAGAGAAGAAATGTATAAATAGGATAGTGATATTGCCTTTGTCTATGGGAATTCTTGAGTCTAATAAAAACTCTGGGAAAAATCTAACTTCATGATTACACTCGGGCACATAGATGATTAATACGAATGAAGTAACAACCATAAATACAATCATAACCACAAGAACAACAGTAATTCAAATTTTCTCACTTCATAGATGTTCTTACAATGCTTTATTGGTATCTTGTAGGTGCTCTCCCCAAGCCTCAGGTGTTATTCCACGATCTCAGTTGATGCAAAGGCAAACACACCACACTCTCCTCTGTTCAATGTCTGCCATCCTTGTCTTTTTGGCCTCTGACTCTTCCCTATACTACTGTCTATGCACTTGAGATCTTCACTGATATAGCTTGGCTCTGTATTTATTGATAAGAATATCTCTTTTCTCTTAGACTAGGCATGGCCAAAAGGTTAATCTGGATTCAAAGATTAATGACAATGACCACTCAGTTTTTATTCAAGATCAATTTTATTTGTTGTAAAAACAAACATGGGTTATGTTCCAGACAAACAGATATAAGTGAGTAGACTTATGCCTTTGTGCCTCCTTGACTCTTCACAGGTTGCAAAAACAAATCCTGCCAGCAGGAGGTGGCAGGTTGCTGAGGTGGCTGGTTGCTCTTTGAGCCATCTTGGCCTTGTCTGGCATGCACAGGCCCTGGCACTGCAAAATATTCAGGGAGTAAGAGTGTTGCACAAAGGATTTTACCAACCTCGTCACATTAAGCAGCATTCAAGGATTTGCTGACCACCACTTAAACAAATGTTGTGTTATGCTATAGCAATGAACTTACTTGTTCTATTTCTAAACACAACATTGGGTTCACACACAGGCCTGGACAAAGCTTCCCACTTCTGAACTATTTACTGATCTTCCTATTCTCAAAGAATGCAAGATGAATGATGTGCAATACCATGGCTATGGCATGTGACTTTTCTAGACCTGGATGGTTAGTGTCCCAATATTTAACTGATTTTTTGGGGGGTGAAAATATGCCAACAGTTCTTCCTTCTATCATCCCCATCACTACCATACATGTAATGACATAATCATGTCAAAGTGTGTCCTCAGAATCACTATTCCTAGCTGAGTATACTAAGGCTTTCTATCTAGGTCAGTTCATTGTGTCTGTGTCTCCTCTAAACCCTCCTTCATCACGCCTACCTTGAGGAATTCAGCAAGTGATCATTCACACAAGCTAAAGGATTTTAGCTTTCTCTGCCATAAAGATTATTGCTAAAATACACACCATACAACAAACCAACCCATTTCCCACAAATCTTACTGTCTGACTTCTCACAAAATACATAATGACTTTTATTGTGTCTCTTCCTTCTGTGTTTCTCTTTCCTAACTGAACTGTTCTTTATCCATGCCTTCTTCCTATCCTGACATATTTTAAAACCTTTAGCATTTCTGCCTATAATATTTGGGTTTTCTCCTTTTCCTATCTTTATTTAATAAGTCCCATACAAATATTTTCCCTGTAATCACAATGTTTTCTTTTCACTTTGCCCAAGAACTGAGTTATGAGTTCCAAATTTGGATAAACTCTACATTGGCTAAGTTTTAGTCATTTGCATTGCTAAGAAAGATGGCAATTCAACATGCTGAAGATGACTTCCTCCCTTATAAAGGGGCTAACACAGAGGGCAATACTGTTCATGCCTCTGAGTCTTGATCACAAGAATTGCTTTAGGCAATTACAATCATGTCTCCTCTGACACATCATATTATTCAAGTGAGACAGAGAAAGAATATGTCCTATGTCACACAGCTGGGTGGTGACAGCTGCTTTAGCATCAGCACACTGCGTTCCCTCTGATTTCTTCATTCATCTCTAAGTAGCAGTAAATCCGGTCCTGAATACTGACTTTGACACTCAGCTTTCTCCACATCCTTCCTGTCACTGCCTTTGAGACTACTTCAGATTCTTCCCTTAGCTTCTATTTCTCCATTTGTAAAATGGGTTGATGAGGGTATCTTCATCAGTAGCTGTGACAATAAAAATGGGATCATCATGCATCCTCCTTAGCCCCATGAGTAAGCTCCCAGTAAGTGAGGTTGTCATCATTACTGGATATTTAAGATTATCTACCTATTTGAAAAACCCTAGTGACAGCGTCTCAGTTGCTTTTCTTTTTGCGTGAATGATCACTTGCTGAATTCATCAAGCAGGCGCTTTAACATTTACCTTCCTTTATTATGCTGGAGCATTTTTCATGTAGGAAGCTTCTGTGGCTTCTCACTATGACTGCTTTGTTTGTTCAAAACTTATACAGGTTGAGTATCCTTTATCTGAAATGCTTGGGTCAGAAGTGTGTTGGGTTTCAACTGTTTTCAGATTTTGGAATATTTTCTTCTATGTAATGAGATATCTTGGGAATGGGACCCATGTCTAAACACAAAATTCACTCATGTTTCATACACACTTAGCCACATACACATAACCTGAAGGTAATCTTATACAATATTTTAAATAATTTTATGCATGAAACAAAGTTTTGAATATGTTTTACTGTGACCCATCACATGAGGTAAGATGTGTGGAATTTTCCACTTGTGGCATCATGTCAGCACTCAAGACATTTTGGATTTTGGAGAATTTCAGATTTTGGATTTTCGAGTAGGTGTGTTCAATCTGTATATATGGGCCAGATTAAGTTGTTTCCTTTAATCCTTGGCTGAAGGAAGCACAGAAGACTTTGGGGCCTCAATCTCTCATATGCAGTGACATTCTCAAAGCCATTGACTCAGCTTCTCACCTGGGTTTCCTTCCAGTGAGCCACAGATAGAAGTCACAGGTGATGACAGGGGCCTGCTGGCTGATGGCATTCCAGTACTGGGTTGTGAAGTTGCTGGTGGTGAAATCAGCATATGGCCTCATCAAAGCTCTCTCAAATGGAATTGGAATTTCAAAGGTTGCCAAGACCTGGAATCCTGGGGGAAAAAAAGAGAGTAAGTGCTAGAGGAGAATAGGAAAATATATGCCCATCATAGTGGAAGGTATTTATAATGGGTCACAACAATAAAGACGAAGGATTTGCTGTGTAGAGTCAAGAATCAATTTCTGAGAACAAGGTAAAGATTTTTATGCTAGGCAAGTGGTTATCTGCAAAATGAAACAATGTGAATGGGTTAAGAATTGGACCATTTATTTGAAACATCTACTCTAAAACAAATTCTTGGGGAAACACATGTAGTCAATAAAAGGGGGTACTGTTCAGAAAAACATAAATCCACATTTAATTCTAAGGTTATCTAGTTTATTCTGAAAGCCCCAAGACAGAGGCTAGAAACTTTATTTTCCTGACTGGACCATTACTGTCAGAACCATTTAGAAAGTTTCTTAACATTTTATTTGAATCTTTATTAAAAGTTTAACTAAAAAATTCTAAAGGCAAGATTTTCTTGGGTTAGCTTACTTTAAATATTTCTCCGGGAATATGTCAGACTCAATTGTCCACTCTGGTATCCAGGGTTTTATTCATAATAGTGTTTTTCTTTTTATATTAATACTTACATTAAGCTTAATTAAGAACATTTTACATACATTTGTGAATTCAGTAGTTCTTTCGAAAAGATACTCATTTGAATTCAATTCTATTTAAGGTATGTAGGTTTTTGCAAAGCATATGCCTAAGCTCATTATTCAATTATGATGTCAGTTGTTATAGTAAAATGATTATTGCCCTACTTAAAAAAATGCCAGCTAAAAATCTATCTGAAAAACATAACTCCTCTTCAGAGAAGATTCTCAAGAATCATCTGGTCCATATTGATTTATACTTTAAAAAGATGGGGGTAAAAAAAAAAGTTATGTACAGGTTGATAGCATAAGAGATTCTGATCTCAACACTGACGTTCTGATCTATATATCCATATACTTGTTCAACATTTCCACCTGGAGGTGTAATAGACATTCACATTTAACAGCTCTAAAATGGGCCTCCTGATACACCCACTGCTAACCACCCCCTTCCCAATACATACACAAACTTGCTATTTCACCAGTCTTCTACCTCTAACCAAATGCTAATTCAATTTGTTTAGTAGTTCAGCCAAAAACTTTGGGGCTATCCTTGATTCATCTCTTTCTTTAACAACCCACACACAGTTGAACAAAATCTATCAGCTCTCTGCTTGAAAAATATCCAGAATCATAATTTCCACCTGCTATCTCTCTGATCCAAACGACTACTGTAGCCTGGAATGTTACAATACTGTCCTAAGTGGTCTCTGCCACTACCCCTGTACCCCTAGTCGGACCTCCATGTAGCAGCCAGAGTGATTCTTGTAAAATGTAACTCAGAGTATATTACAGGAACTTTCCCATTCAGAACCCTTCAATGGAATCTCTTCTCATTTAGAGGCAAAGCCATGGTCTGCAAGGCCTTGCACTCTCTGCATCCTCACTCTCTCTGCCCACCACTCTGACTTCATCTCTTACCGCCCTCCCTCTCAGTGCTTCTGGTGCAGCCATACTGGCCTCCTTGCTGTCCTTGAATATGATTAAAGAACTTCAGCACTTACTGTTTCTTCAACTTGGAATATTTCATCCACAAGTCTCTCTGATTTGCCCTCTCACTTCTTTCAGGTCTCTACTAAGATGACACCTTATCAGAGAGAGTTTCTTTGGCCATCACATATCAAATAGCAGCCTTCCCACAATACTATTTACTTCTTTAATCTGTTTTATTTTTCTGCAATCACTCAACCATATCTAATGCATATTTCTCCTTTCTAAGATTTAAGTACCATAACAAAATTTTGTCTGTTTTGTTTGAACCTATACAGTACCTTGAAAAGTGGCTGACAGGTAATCAGTGCCTAATAAACATTTTTTGACTAAACGAATCAATAAATATCTCAGCAACATACACTTACTTTCCTTTTCTGAAATCTATATCAATCCTTCAATCCTTCCTTTAGCCATTTCAAATATATTTATTTAGCATTTAACACTTGCCAGGCACTGTGGTAGATGCTGAGGTAAAAAAAATTACATATGATATATTGTCTTTAGAGAACTGGCAATCTGGTGGGAGATGTGGACAATTCGTGATTACAATATTTTGCCTGAGTATTCTGCTAGAGGCCAGTACAATATGCACTGGAGGAATACAAAAGAAGCATCTAGTTCTGTCTGGGTGCCAGGAAGGGGAGGGGTGGGGCTGGGTTAGGAAAGGCTTTCTGAGAAAGCTGTCCAAATGGTAATAGCAAGCATTTACTAAAGTGTTCACTGTTCTAACCACTGTACTAAGCACTTTATCTCACTACATTCTCCCAAGAGCTCCCTAGAATAGAATAATTATTATTCTCATTGACAGATAAAAAAATTGATTTACAGGGAGAAACTGAGAGACTTTTTCAAACTGATACAACTAATAAGTAGTGGAGTCTAGTAAATGGTGGGACACATACCAGCATGTAACATCTATGTGAGCATGGATTTCTGTTTAGTGATATATCCTCAGCACCAAGAATAATGCCTATTTAATGAATACAGGAGTGAGTGAATGAGCTATGATGTGAATCCAAGTCTATTAGATCTCAAAGCCCAAGACTTTTAACAATCAAGCTACTGTCTGTCTGATGTGAGGGACAAGTAGAAACTCATGCACATGTAGAAAATGTAATTTGGCAATTGAAAACTGCACTCTACATCCTCACAGGTCAAAGAACAAATTTGAATGAAAAATGTTTAAGGATTAGAGAGTAATGATAACATAAACATTATACAACAAAATGTGTGGGATACAGCCAAAGTGGCATTTGAGGGAAATATCCAGCCATAAATGATGTATTAGACAAGCCAAATATTCGTGGGCTATATTTCTAAGTTAAAGAGAAGAAAAACATAATCAAAGGAAACAGGAGGAAGGGGAAAAAAGAGATAAGGCAATACATCTATGCAATAGAAAACAAAGCAGCATAATAAAGAGTCAATAGGCTGGGCATGGTGGCTCATGCCTGTATTCCCAGCACTTTTGGAGGCTAAGGTGGGTGGATCACCTGAGGTCAGGAGTTCAAGACCAGCCTGACCAACATGGAGAAACCCCATCTCTACTGAAAATATAAAATTAGCCAGGTGTGGTGGCACATGTCTGTAATCCCAACTACTCTACTCAGGAGGCTGAGGCAGGAGAACTGCTTCAACCCGGGAGGCAGAGGTTGTGGTGAGCCAAGAAATTGCCATTGTACTCCAGCCTGGGCAACAAGAGTGAGACCCCATCTCAAAAAAAAAAAAAAAAAAAAAAAAAAGAGAAAGAAAGAACAAAGAAAAAAGTCAATAAAGGCCAAAGAAGTAAATACATTTTAAAACACACAAAATCTTAGGAAAAGAGACAAATATAATTTACTAAAACTGATTCCAGCATAAAATAGAGCCTGCAAAATTCTTTAACTATTAAAGACACTGAAGCAATAAAAAGTCTTCTCACAAAAAATTATGAATCCAGATAATTTAAAGGTGCTTTTCACTTACTGTAGCCTTGTAGTATAGTTTGAAGTCAGGTAGCGTGATGCCTCCAGCTTTGTTCTTTTGGCTTAGAACTGACTTGGCGATGTGGGCTCTTTTTTGATTCCATATGAACTTTAAAGTAGTTTTTTCCAATTCTGTGAAGAAAGTCATTGGTAGCTTGATGGGGATGGCATTGAATCTGTAAATTACCTTGGGCAGTATGGCCATTTTCACGATATTGATTCTTCCTACCCATGAGCATGGAATGTTCTTCCATTTGTTTGTATCCTCTTTTGTTTCATTGAGAAGTGGTTTGTAGTTCTCCTTGAAGAGGTCCTTCACGTCCCTTGTAAGTTGGATTCCTAGGTATTTTATTCTCTTTGAAGCAACGGTGAATGGGAGTTCACTCATGATTTGGCTCTCTGTTTGTCTGTTATTGGTGTATAAGAATGCTTGTGATTTTTGTACTTTGATTTTGTATCCTGAGACTGCTGAAGTTGCTTATCAGCTTAAGGAGATTTTGGGCTGAGACAATGGGGTTTTCTAGACATACAATCATGTCATCTGTAAACAGGGACAATTTGACTTCCTCTTTTCCTAATTGAATACCCTTTATTTCCTTCTGCTGCCTAATTGCCCTGGCCAGAACTTCCAACACTATGTTGAATAGGAGTGGTGAGAGAGGGCATCCCTGTCTTGTGCCAGTTTTCAAAGGGAATGCTTCCGGCTTTTGCCCATTCAGTATGATATTGGCTGTGGTTTTGTCATAGATAGCTCTTATTATTTTGAGATACATCCCATCAATACCAAATTTATTGAGAGTTTTTAACATGAAGGTTGTTGAATTTTCTCAGAGGCCTTTTCTGCATCTATTGAGATAATCATGTGGTTTTTGTCTTTGGTTCTGTTTATATGCTGGATTACATTCATTGATTTGTGTATATTGAACCAGCCTTGCATCCCAGGGATGAAGACCACTTGATCATGATGGATAAGCTTTTTGATGTGCTGCTGGATTCGGTTTGCCAGTATTTTATTGAGGATTTTTGCATCAATGTTCATCAGGTATATTCGTCTAAAATTCTCTTTTTTGGTTGTGTCTCTGCTCGGCTTTGGTATCAGGATGATGCTGGCATCATAAAATGAGTTACGGAGGATTCCCTCTTTTTCTATTGATTGGAATAGTTTCAGAAGGAATGGTACCAGTTCCTCCTTGTACCCTGGTAGAATTCGGCTGTGAATCCATCTGGTCCTGGACTCTTTTTGGTTGGTAAGCTATTGATTATTGCCACAATTTCAGCTCCTGTTATTGGTCTATTCAGAGATTCAACTTCTTCCTGCTTTAGTCTTGGGAGGGTGTATGTGTCAAGGAATTTATCCATTTCTTCTAGATTTTCTAGTTTATTTGTGTAGAGGTGTTTGTAGTATTCTCTGATGATAGTTTGTATTTCTGTGGGATTGGTGGTGATATCCCCTGGCCAGGTACTCCTCTGAGACAAAACTTCCAGAGGAACGATCAGACAGCAGCTTTTGTGGTTCACGAAAATCTGCTGTTCTACAGCCAACGCTGCTGGCACCCAGGCAAACAGGGTCTGGAGTGGACCTCTAGGAAATTCCAACAGACCTGCAGCTAAGGGTCTTGTCTGTTAGAAGGAAAACAAACAAACAGAAAGGACATCCACACCAAAAACCAATCTGTACTTCACCATCATCAAAGACCAAAAGCAGATAAAACCACAAAGATGGGGAAAAAAATGAGCAGAAAAACTGGAAACTCTAAAAAGTGAGCATCTCTCCTCCTCCAAAGGAACGCAGCTCCTCACCAGCAACAGAACAAAGCTGGATGGAGAATGACTTTGATGAGTTGAGAGAAGAAGGCTTCAGATGATCAAACTATTACGAGCTACAGAAGGAAATTCAAACCAAAGGCAAAGAAGTTGAAAACTTTGAAAAAAATTTAGATGAATGAATAACTAGAATAACCAATACAGAGAAATGCTTAAAGGAGCTGATGGAGCTGAAAGCCAAGGCTCGAGAACTACGTGAAGAATGCAGAAGCCTCAGGAGCCGATGTGATCAACTGGAAGAAAGGGTATCAGTGATGGAAGATGAAATGAATGAAATGAAGTGAGAGGTGAAGTTTAGAGAAAAACGAATAAAAAGAAATGAACAAAGCCTCCAAGAAATATGGGACTATGTGAAAAGACCAAATCTACATCTGATTGGTGTGCCTGAAAGTGACGGAGAATGGAACCAAGTTGGAAAACACTCTGCAGGATATTATCCAGGAGAACTTCCCCAATCTAGCAAGGCAGGCCAACATTCAGATTCAGGAAAAACAGAGAACGCCACAAAGATACTCCTCGAGAAGAGCAACTCCAAGACACATAATTGTCAGATTCACCAAAGTTGAAATGAAGGAAAAAATGTTAAGGGCAGCCAGAGAGAAAGGTCGGGTTACTCACAAAGGGAAGCCCATCAGACTAACAGCGGATCTCTTGGCAGAAACTCTACAAGCTAGAAGAGAGTGGGGGCCAATATTCAACATTCTTAAAGAAAAGAATTTTCAACCCAGAATTTCACGTCCAGCCAAACTAAGCTTCATAAGTGAAGGAGAAATAAAATACTTTACAGACAAGCAAATGCTGAGAGATTTTGTCACCACCAGGCCTGCCCTAAAAGAGCTCCTGAAGGAAGCACTAAACATGGAAAGGAAAAACCGATAGCAGCCACTGCAAAACCATGCCAAATTGTAAAGACCATCAAGGCTAGGAAGAAACTGCATCAACTAATGAGCAAAATAACCAGCTAACATCATAATGACAGGATCAAATTCACACATAACAATATCAACTTTAAATGTAAATGGACTAAATGCTCCAATTAAAAGACACAGACTGGCAAATTGGATAAAGAGTCAAGACCCAACAGTGTGCTGTATTCAGGAAACCCATCTCACGTGCAGAGTCACACATAGGCTCAAAATAAAAGGATGGAGGAAGATCTACCAAGCAAATGAAAAACAAAAAAAGGCAGGGGTTGCAATCCTAGTCTCTGATAAAACAGACTTTAAACCAACAAAGATCAAAAGAGACAAAGAAGGCCATTGCATAATGGTAAAGGGATCAATTCAACAAGAAGAGCTAACTATCCTAAATATATATGCACCCAATACAGGAGCACCCAGATTCATAAAGCAAGTCCTGAATGACCTACAAAGAGACTTAGCCTCCAACACAATAATAATGGGAGACTTTAACACCCCACTGTCAACATTAGACAGATCAACAAGACAGAAAGTTAACAAAGATACCCAGGAATTGAACTCAGCTCTGCACCAAGTGGACCTAATAGACATCTACAGAACTCTCCACCCCAAATCAACAGAATATACATTTTTTTCAGCACCACACCACACCTATTCCAAAATTGACCACATAGTTGGAAGTAAAGCTCTCTTCAGCAAATGTAAAAGAACAGACATTATAACAAACTATCTCTCAGACCACAGTGCAATCAAACTAGACCTCAGGGTTAAGAAACTCACTCAAAATGGCTCAACTACATGGAAACTGAACAACCTGCTCCTGAATGACTACTGGGTACATAACGAAATGAAGGCAGAAATAAAGATGTTCTTTGAAACCAACGAGAACAAAGACACAACATACCAGAATATCTGGGACACATTCAAAGCAGTGTGTAGAGGGAAATTTATAGCACTAAATGCCCACAAGACAAAGCAGGAAAGATGCAAAATTGACACCCCAACATCACAATTAAAAGAACTAGAAAAGCAAGAGCAAACACATTCAAAAGCTAGCAGAAGGCAAGAAATAACGAAAATCAGAGCAGAACTGAAGGAAATAGAAACACAAAAAACCCTTCAAAAAATCAATGAATCCAGGAGCTGGTTTTTTGAAAGGATCAAAAAAATTGATAGACCACTAGCAAGACTAATAAAGAAGAAAAGAGAGAAGAATCAAATAGACACATTTTCTTAATTCAGTCTATCATTGTTGGACATTTGGGTTGGTTCCAAGTCTTTGTTATTGCGAATAGTGCTGCAATAAACATACATGTGCATGTGTCTTTATAGCAACATGATTTATAATCCTTTGAGTATATACCCAGTAATGGGATGGCTGGGTCAAATGGTATCTCTAGTTCTAGATCCCTGAGGAATCGCCACACTGACTTCCACAGTGGTTGAACTAGTTTGCAGTCCCACCAACAGTGTAAATGTGTTCCTATTTCTCCACATCCTCTCCAGCACCTGTTGTTTCCTGACTTTTTAATGATTGCCATTCTAACTGGTGTGAGATGGTATCTCATTGTGGTTTTGATTTGCATTTCTCTGATGGCCAGTGATGATGAGCATTTTTTCATGTGTCTTTTGGCTGCATAAAT
This sequence comes from Homo sapiens, assembly GCF_000001405.40. Taxonomy (NCBI): domain Eukaryota; kingdom Metazoa; phylum Chordata; class Mammalia; order Primates; family Hominidae; genus Homo; species Homo sapiens. The sequence goes on along the minus strand of NC_000022.11, from coordinate 15,533,503 downwards.
GTCTTCTTTTGAGAAGTGTCTGTTCATATCCTTTGCCCACTTTTTGATGGGATTGTTTGTATTTTTCTTGCAAATTTGTTTCAGTTCATGTGCCACATATACACCATGGAATACTATGCAGCCATAAAAAATGAGTTCATGTCCTTTGTAGGGACATGGATGAAGCTGGAAACCATCATTCTCAGCAAACTATCGCAAGGACAAAAAACCAAACACTGCATGTTCTCGCTCATAGGTGGGAATTGAACAATGAGAACACATGGACACAGGAAGGGGAACATCACACGCCAGGGCCTGTTGTGGGGTGGGGGCAGGGGGGAGGGATAGCATTAGGAGATATACCTAATGCTAAATGACAAGTTAATGGGTGCAGCACCCCAACATGGCAGATGTATACATATGTAACACACCCGCATTTTGTGCACACATACCCTAAATCAAAGTATAATAAAAAAAAGGTAGGTATCAAAAACATAACAATTCAAACTCTCTTTTAATTAAAGTTGGTTCTTGTATTGGTAGTAAGTAGGGAGCTTGGCTGGAGAGATGTGTACAAGTGTAGATGGAAGTCCCCGGGTAAAGCTCTTGTTTGGGAAGATTCATTTGATTGTATGACATGTTCCTCCATTCTCTCTCTCTCTGTCTCTGTCTTTTGTTGTTGTTGATGTTGTTGTTGTTGTTGTTGTTGTTGTTCTAAGAATCTAGAATGAAAACCACAAGGCCAGGGTTTGCTACCATGGACCACTCTCTCCTTTGCAGAAAGAGCTGCTTCTGAGTGAAATAGAAGGACAAGGGTGCCAAATTAACTCCTCTCCACAAAGTGACCCCACGTGGAAAAGTACTTGAGAAGCTCTGTAAAGACGTGGTAAAAGCTTACCAAAGACAGTAGCATTATCCTTTCCTTACACACAAAGTGGAGGGAAAGCGTGGGTAAGTGGTGTGTCTAAAAGCATTGCTTTAAATTATACATCCATTTGTAAACATTCATTTTTTCTTAACTACATGTCGTTTGTAAATTGGACAAAAAATGCATATTTGTCATGGAAAAATTAGGAAATAAAGATATTAGCATAAAAGAGGAAACAACGAATCTTAATTACCCATAATCCCATGACTTCATGTTTGTGTGAGATTATATAATAATATTGTTTCATGATCTGCCATTTTCACTCAGTGACATATTTTGCACGTGAAATACATTTTACTTAAATATTTGTATAATTTGAGTAGTTATTACCTTAAGACTACTGGAAAGAAATCCCTTAGTTCTTCTACTGCACTCATTTCTTCTCTACAGCATTAATTTCTGGGGTAAATCCAGCTCTTTGGCTTACATGGCCGTGTAGTTCTGAAGTTAGCTACGCAGAACTTAGCCACATTTCCCAGAATAGGATGTATGGTACAGCAGAATTCTTATTGAACTTGAAGTCAGAAGAACTTGCTCCTTCACTTACTATGGGTGACCTTGGACAGTATACTTGATTTCTTTGAATCTCATCAGTGAAATGAGTATGGGAATGTCTACCTTAACTGTGTGATGACAGAATTTGTGAGGATGAACTGAACAACTATATAAAAGTGGGAAATGCTGAAGAGCTCTACAAATGAAAGACATTAATAATATTAACTGAAATAGATTCCATAAATACTATGTGTAAGATCCTACCTTGATTTACCTCATTTATTCATCAAATCCACTGTCTGACAGAAGTATTATCATTAGTTATATTTTATAGTCTAAACAAATCTAGGCAGAAAGGTCAAATAATTTGCATAAGCTCACACAATCAGTGACTTAGATTTGATCCAATCTATTTCATTCTATAGTGTCGGTCATTTCCCCCGATAGTAGTAAAAACTGTGGGCTCCATTGTTAGCCTGCCTGAGATCAGACGCCATCTCCAACTAGGCAAGTTACCTTTTCTGCCTGTTTCACTCTTCAAAAATTAGAGATACAATAATACCGACCTGATTTCTTTGGGTTTCATAAGTAGGAAATAAAATAATACATAGAAAAGACTTGGAATATTGCCTGACACAAAATAGTTGACTTAAAACGTTAATTATTATTATTTTCAATGTTGCCAAGAGAACAAACCCTGTGGTGGTGAATTTGCATATGTAAACCTGTTAAACTAATACACAGTCTTTCTTTTCTCATAATATTGTCGCACTTGCACCTTATGTCCTAAGTTTTCTAGTAATCTTGAATGTACATAATGTTTGGTTGTACAAATAAATTTTCCTTTGTGAGGGAATTAGTTGTAATTGAGGGTAGAGTCAAAGTTTGTTCAGCTTAGTGAGCATTTAAAGGGAGCTAATAAACACCATGACTTGTATTTGAAAGTAGAAAATACCGACTTTCAATTGTCATTTCCCCCAAGGAAACCATTAACCAGCACAATTATTTTTAAATATCAACCTGAAATAACACTGTATTTTTATTGCTATTCTTTCTCTCTCCTTCTCTCTCTTTGGGATACAGTTTGGCTTTGAAAAAATATGGTATATATGCAGTGTTTGGTCAAATAATTTAGCACTATGGAAAAGGTTGTGAACCAGTCATAGTATTTGAGGTTGTAAGAAGAAACCTTTGCAAAGGTAGTGGCTGCACAAATGTATTAACTTAGTAATACAAAGTAGGGAGTTCTGAAACTGTGGTGGAAATATTGCCTGCCTTGACTACCTGTTCTTCTTGAGTCCGTTTGCTGATCAGAACTCAGGTAACTTAAAAGTCATACACCCTGGAAAGGAGTAAAGAAAGAGGAAAGATCCTCAGCGGCTATACAAGTGAGAGATATGGCAGAGTTCTAATAAGATTGAGTAAAAGCTTGATACTGTCTTACATGAAAGGAGCAAATAATTGTTCTACCTGGAATGTCCGGGCCCCAATTCACAAATGCATTCTTACCTTTTGAACTGAATAATGATCTCTTTCCCGATAAACTGTTCTAAGACAAAAAATCTGAAAGGAAAATTGTTGCACACACATCATATTCTTATATTCTGTATTTTCTGGGACAGTCTGTTTCAGATTAGATGATGAGTCCTAATTTAGGTTTGCAAAATATTATCAAGGCAAATCTTTATGAAGATTTTATTGAGATATTATTTTATAACAAAAAAATGGGATAACTGTAATGTTCAACAAAAAGATTGGTGGTAGAAGGAAGGAAGATGTTGGAGTGTTCAGTAACCTTACCCCAGAATGCTGCAGTACAAATTCTGTGAGAAGTCATTCTTGTGTAGTAGAGGCATTCATTTTTCTCCTAATATCCCTTCTGAAAATTCCCTTTTACTAGTCAGCTCTTAGCTTCTTGGAAGGAAGGCCCTTCGTCTAGGACAATGTTCATCTCACCACATAAAAATTCACAATTCATGGCACGTTAGTTCAATAAAATATTATGCTTTCTATGAATGATAATTATAAAAACTTGCTATAAATGGGAGCGAGTTTAACATTAAATCACATGAAACAGACATATTAACAAAAATAGATACATTAGAGCAATTGAATTATAAATGTTTTTTTCCTTCAAAAATTTTCCTTCATGTTATGTTCACATTCTTTTAGCAGCAAATGACAATGAACTGCCATTGATTTTATTTTATTTTTTGAACTTAAGTAGTGTATCCACAAGTACACCATTGCCCTGTCCAATCTTTAGGGGAGATATTCTATTATCTAAAACTCGGTAAATTGACCTATCATGTTGTTGGTGATATCTTATTTAGGTAAAAATATTAGGTATTTAGAACAATGCATTTCTGAATATTTTGACTGATATTATTATAGATGGATTTAGAATCTGCCCTTTAGGGGTCCAGAAGGAGGTAATGTTTGGATATCATTAGGCTAGAATATTTTATTGTCCTACAAAAATGTTGATAAATTGCTTATAAGGGCTTATGTATTAGTAATGACCATGTCACCAAAATAATAAACCCAAATATGATAAGAATCACAATCAGAAAATATATTTTTTCTTCTTTTATTTACAACCAACCAAACAAAATAACATAGCTATAATTTTGTCAATCTCAGAACAATAAATTTAAGTAAAATAGAACATAAAGAATTTTTATCACAGATGAATCAGATGGAAACTATCCAGAAAACACCCAAATATGTGTATTCCTCAGTTAATACTCAGTCTAGGTGCCAAAGGGAAACCACACGCTTCCATTTATCTATATGATTTGGCAACTTTAATTTGTAAGGGGTCCAACAGGTGTTTAATTTCATAGGCTGATATAGTCAATATCACTAGGTCCATATTTTTTAGATTTAAATAACTATATAATTCTGATTTCTCTTTGTTAGACTGTACTGATCTGATCATGGAGGAATAATCTAATATGCCTTAGATTATGTTGGAACTCCCCAGAACTTTCCTCAGGGCTGCCTTTATCTCCTTATTCTGGAGGCTATAGATAAGGGGATTGAAGAGTGGGGTCACCATAGCATAGAACAAAGTTTCAATTTTCTGCATCCCTGTAGAATGTCCGAGTCCTGGGCTCACATACATGACCATAAGAGAGCTATAGCACAGTGATACCACAGCCAAATGAGACCCACAGGTAGAGAAGGCCTTATGTCTCCCAGTGCTTGAAGGCATACCCAACATAGCTTTCAGGACAAGAGTATAGGATCCAATAATAAAGAGGAAGTTACCAAAAATAACTAATGAGCTTAGAGTGTAGCAAAACAGTTGGATTCTTGGGGCAGAAACACAATCCAATGCAAATCGTGGCCCTGGGTCACACACAACATGGTCAATAATGTTTGGGCCACAGAAGGGCATCTGAGAGATGAGAACAATGGGGATCAGGAACCACAGAAATCCACAAACCCAGCACAGTATGACCAGTTTGGCATAGAGATGCCCAGTCATGATATTAGGATAGAGCAAGGGACGGCAGATAGCAAGGTACTGATCAAAGGCCATCACAGTCAAAAGCAAGCATTCTGATGTACCCAAAGAGAAGAAGAAATAAAACTGGAGAAAACATCCAGCAAAGGAGATGTTTTTTTTCTCTGAAAGGAAGTTGACCAACATCTTGGGAACTGTAGAAGAGACATACCATATCTCTAAAAAGGAGAAATTTCCCAGGAACATGTACATGGGAGTGTGAAGTCGCCGGTCACACCACAGGACAAAAGCAATGGCTCCATTCCCTGTTATAGTCAGTGCATATGTTGTAGTAAAGAGTGAGAAGAGGAAGATCTGAATTGTCCACTCACAAGAGAAACCTTGGAGTATAAATTCATTTACAAAAGCAAAGCTGGAATTTGGCTCAGAGACATTCATTAGGCCAGTGACCTGCAAGGTCAAGGGACACATTATCAGTCAGGACTCTTTTATAAAATGTGTTCCTTTTTTAAGAATGAAGAGAAGATAATGAACATGAAGTCATTTTTCAAAAGAATAATTAGGAAGAGAATGTAGTTTACTTTTTCTCGGCTATACAGTATATGAGTTTTGGGCTTCGTAGGTAGCTGATTGAACAAAAACAAACTTCTGCCATCTTCTAAATCTCTCCTTAATATGCAATCGTGATAGAACTAGGTAAAGTTAAATTCCTTTTGTAAGGTCATTATTTTGAGACAGAAATGATTGAATATAGTTTCTGGATAGCATACAACTCAAAGTTAGTACTTTGAGAAGGCACAAATGTGTTAGTTTCTTACTGCAAACCCAACTTATGGTGCAATAGACTCAGTAAAGAAAGTTTTGACCATTTACATTTCAGCTAAACATATTACTTAACATTATTTACATATGCAAAAGAAATGCACATATTTTAAAATAAATTGGTAGCAATCACGTTAAAGCCATTATCTCTGAATTTCTATTGCTGCTGTTGTTAGCTTAAGTGATTATCTAATGTTACTCACCAATATTGATTTTTAATATTAATATTGTAAAGCTGCAATGTTTTCTGTAGAAAGCAAAGGCTTTAAGCTTCTGATTAATCTTTTACCTTAATTTCATAAACTGATATAGTGATTATTATATTGATAAAATCAATATAATATTGATTTAGTCATTATGTACAAAAGTTTGCAAAGATCTAGACATTAAACTTTACTTTTGAAGGTATTTCATAAAATTTTGAGATTGATTTTCCTTATATGCTTTTTTTAAAATTGAAAATTTTTACCAGATGACAGAAATCAAACACTTATTTTGTTATAGGTAAACTTCCTTCTTCCTACATTCTTATAAAAATATATTAGGGATTTGAGTTACCTGGAAAAAACTTTTCTTTTCCTCAGAAATATGGAGGGATGTGAGTCCTAGATGTCAAGAGGACATTTTGAGCAGAAACACAAATTTTCAAAAGTTTTTCTTCCAACTTGCTCTCTACACCAGTGCTCTGGGAAGTCTTTTGGTATGACTAGTTAGAAGTTATGTTTGTGCTTCTTTTAGTAATATATGTCTCTTTAATAGGCTTCCAACCAGAATCATTAATAAACCAACATTAAGAAATTATGGAATGAAAAGGGATTGACACAGGAGTGTCATGATTCTCAGCAGTGCTCAAAAGGTGAAGCCATCATCGTTTTGACAGGAACCAAATCTCTAAATGATTTATTTTATAAATCATATTATGTCTTCAGCTAGACAGAGTTTTATTGTGGCCGGCCCCAAAATTAAAAATGCACTTTATGAAACTCACATTCTCCTGGGATGTAGCCTCTATAGCATTAGGAAAGTTATCTTCCAAGATGAATCTTTAAAAAGTTAATGATTACATATTCTCTGAAGAATCAGTAAAGAGTAATGACAACTATTCTAAGGCATCATTATTTACAAAGAGCTTGCCCACCAGATGGATTCCAGAAAATCTTCTGGAAGACACAGTCTGAGGAGAAATAAGATACAAAATGTTACCAAAAGTTTTGACATAATGTTTAGGAACATTTCAAGTGTTACTGTGCATATATTGGAGGATATACAGCCCAGTGAGGAAAATACTGAGGTTCCAACATTGTCACACATTGAACAAAAACTTACAGAATTTAGAAATAACTTTTAGAAGGATGGCACTTTTTTGCCAGAATCCTTTAGATATGAGAAGAAAGTATAAGAAGTAGCAACATTTAAGTTAATTAACAGAAATACTTCAGAGGAACATGTGACTTCCCAATTAATAGAGAGAAGTATTTACTTGTATTTATTAGTATCTCTTCTATTTTTACTTTATGACATTTAGGGGCCAACATAGTGTAACTAAACACTCATGTGTGAGTGAATGCTCATACCAAGTGCTGTGAAGTAGTTGAGGACATCAGGGATGTATGCCCTAGGACCACAGACATCTGTCTAAAAGCAAACTTCCACTTTGAGAGACTACAGAGGAAAATGTTTATTCAGACCTTTATTATCACTTAGTCATAATACTTAGAAACTTCTAAAACATAGCTTTGATATTCTCGTCTGCTCAAAAGCTGTCAATGATTTCAAGTTCCCAAGTTCTCCACAAATTGACTTCAAATGACTTTCTTGGTGTTATTTTTCCCTACTCTCTTTTGCAGATAAATTAGACAGTAGACAGCATTTCATTCTCTGAATAGCTTCAGTTTCTTATGTTCTCTTCTTTGTGATCATTTTCTGTATTTGGAATTCTATTTATCTCCATCTACATCTGTACAAACCCTCCTTCAAGGTCCAGTTCAAAAGACATTTTTTTTTCCCAAAATGTTTTCCTCTCTTCCCCTAACCAAAGCACATTTTCCATTGTTGCGTGTTTTTTTTTTTGAGACAGAATCTCGCTCTGTCCCCAGGCTGAATGCAGTGTCATGATCTCAGCTCACTGCAACCTCTGCCTCCCAGGTTCAAACAATTCTTCTGCTTCAGCCTCCTGAGTAGCTGGGAATGCAGGCATGCGCCACCACACCCAGCTAATTTTTGTATTTTTAGTATAAACGGGGTTTCACCGTGTTGACCAGGATGGTCTCTATCTCTTGACCTTGTCATCCACCTGCCTTGGCCTCCTGAAGTGCTGGGATTACAGGCGTGAGCCACTGCACCCAGCCCCATCCTTGCATTTTTATTTTACCATCTTTGTGTCTTTGTCATGATACTAATCACAAGCTGCCTTATATCAGTATTCATCCATGATATTGGCTTGAAGTTTTTTTTGTTGTTGTTGTGTCTCTACCAGGTTTTGGTATCAGGATGATGCTGGCCTCATAGAATGAGTTGGACAGGGGTCCCTCCTCCTCAGTTTTTTTGGAATCATTTCAGCAAAAATGGTACTGGCTCTTCTTTGCATATCTGGTAGAATTTGGCTGTGAATCCATCTAGTCTTGAGCTTTTTAAAATATATATATTTTTTGGTTGGTAGGCTATTTATTACAGATGCAATTTTGGAGCACGTTATTGGTGTGTCCAGGAAGTTCCCCATCTCTTACAGGTTTTCAAGTTTGTGTGCATAGAGGTGTTTGTAGTAGTTTCTGATGGTTATTTTTTATTTCTGTGGGGTCAGTGGTAATATGGTCTTTTTCATTTCTAACTGTGATGTTTCTTTCAAAAGATTAGAATAACTAGTAAAAATTATACTTATTCTGAATATGGCTTCTAGGTGTTATTAAATGTTTACACCTTTAATTTACTCTGGTCAACAATATAAGTTACCTTTGGGGCTTTTTTCTTAAATAATCTTGTCACTAAATCACTATACTTAATAAACAGCCTAGTTAAATGAACATGCATTTGAACATTAGACTCTAGAGAGACAAGATTAATTAACCTTTGACACAAGAAGCTCACAGTGCAACAGGCCACTGTGATAGGACAAAAGTCCTAGGAAGTCTATGTCGGCAAAATCCCACCTAAGGGCTAAACTTTAAGCTCTATTCACGTTTAGCTAATTAAGTAAATATACCACCATCCCATGCTGATAGTGATGGGCAGTCAAGGGGGAGGTTGACTTCTACAGGGAGGCGGGAGGAGGATGTGTTTCTGCACTTTGCTTCTTCAATCAGGCACTCTGTGACTTCTTCATTTCCTTCCTCTCCTCTTTAAGCCCTGGCACGTTGGCTCAGAAGCACAAGAGGGCAGGATAATCCTCATTGTCTCATTCACACTGACTGAAGCCCTGGGCTTTGAAATACACACTCACTCCTCCCAAGCTCTACTCACTGATGCTGGGAGCAATTTAGAGCAAATGTTATCCAAAGTGACATTACCTAGATCACTAGGTTCTTTCTTTCACCCACCTCCAATCCTGCTGTTCTTTCAGTTCTAAGTCAAGGATACTACAAGTTTACACTTTGCAGGAGCCCCTGGAATATTTGAGGTTTCATACTGCACATCAAAACTATTTCTCACTGACACAATCATCTATTAAAAATTTTGTTGAATTTCTGCCATTTTAATGGCTATCTATCTGCCTTCGTACGAACTTCTTGGTATTATAGTAGTCAGTGTGCTTCCAAATTAATCCCAATTCGTTTACTTTTATTTTAAGATGAAATGTAGGCCGAGCATGGTGGCTCACACCTGTAATCCCAGCACTTTGGGAGGCTGAGGCGGGCGGATCATGAGGTCAGGAGTTCGAGACCAGCCTGGCCAACATAGGGAAACCTGGTCTCTACTAAAAATACAAAACAAACTAGCCAGGCATGGTGGCGGGTGCCTGTAATCCCAGCTACTTGGGATGCTGAGGCAAGGAGAATCATTTGAACCTGGGAGGCGGAAGTTGCAGTGAGCCGAAGTCGCACCACTGCACTCCAGCCTGGGTGACAGTGCGAGACTCCGTCTAAAAAAAAAAAAAAAAAAAAAAAAAAAAAAGATGAAATGTAGCTTAGAAACCATTCTTCCATAAAACCAAAACCATATCTCTTTAAGAGGATGTTGGAAAATCAGCCTTTCTCATAAAGTGGTTTCCCCCACAAATTTAAACACATTACTCCATTATAAGTTTAGAGAGTATTTTAAAAAACTATTATGCTTCAGCTTTTCCTGCACCTTTCTCTTTCTTGTCTCTTACTTCCTTCTCTGTGATCTGGTCCAACAATTATTGCCATGGCAACAAAGGCTCTGTGACATCTCTAGTAAGCTCATTGTCTTCTGCCGTATTAAACTTTAATGGGTAGCTGGTAGACAATTAACACTCTGGGAGGGCTCAAACCACATAACCAAATGTGCCAAGATAATCCTGAGCTCACTCATTGTCAGGTAAGACAAAGTATTTTAGCGCAATAGCAAACAATTAATTAAACAAACAAAAACAGGAAGCCTTTCTTGGGCCAGGAAGCCATTAATTAGCTAAGCTCAGAGCCACTCATTGAAACTAGGTCCTGACTGGGTTTCTGGATTTGACCACTGGGCAGAAACTAGGACCCGAAACCAATTAGAATGAAATGGTCCCCAGATATTGTTTTCATGTAAGGATAGGTTTGGAAGTATCCAGACTTAGTGGTGGGCCAGGCCTCCCCTGTGAGCAGTACAGTTCAGGACACCTGGACTGCCCTTTCCCTCTGCCTTCCCTAGGGTAATGTGAATGGCTTAGTCTTTCGTGTTCCCATCTGTAACATGGAGGAGGAAGAGAAGAGCCTCATTGCACATATTGGGTCATTAAGATTGATCTTAGAACCATAATTTACAATATTTTGAAGTTAGGTTTGATTTTTACCATTCCACTACTCCTCTCTCCCAATATGTTGTGCCAAATTGTAAGTAATTTGCAATTAGAACACATTGAAGACATATATTTGAGCGGTTAGAGAGTCTCACCTACCTTTGAGGTAACTTTTTGTACTTTAGGTTTTCTCAATTCAGAGTGTTGAGTCCTTAAATCAGTGTTGGGTACTGATAAAATTTTGACACATAAAGTTAATTGCCTAAGCTTAGTAAATGGGGGACAGGCTTGCTTATCAACAGTCTTTGCGGTGTTTTATGCTGAAAAAGCCTTGAGGCTCACACTCAGCCCACAGCTCTCTGCATTCCCTCCACCTCCCTTCTATGTCTTTCATGTGTATCCTTTACAGCAATTTTTTTGTGTGTGAGTTCTTTTCCTTTTTGAGATCTCTCTTAAGGTTAATGGTGTACAGTAGATATCCAGAACTTATTCATCCTTTTTAGCTGAAACATTGTACCCTTTGACAAACGTCTCCCCATATCCCCTGGGCGCAATTTTCAATAGGTAGTTAGGGAAAGCCTCAATGAAAAGGTTGGGATTTTGGGATGCTGATAATATTCAGTTTCTTGAACTAGGTACCTTTACACAGGAGTATCAGTTGATAACAATTCATTGAGAAATATACTTATGAGCAGAGATATATTTGACTGTTTGGTGAGACATTCTGGAGTTTAAGCTGTCACTTAAACCAGTTACAATTTTCCATAGGGAGCTACTCTGTCACTTGGGTCTTTTCCCAATTAAGCAAGGCTACTTTCCATGGAATCATTATCCAGTATATGAGATTAACTTGGCACTTGTTCAATATGTGCTTGCTTTATAATAGGTGATTGAATATTTTTTATTTTATATTTTAAAAACTGTATGTATTTGTGGCATACAAGATGATTTTTTGATATGTATACATGGTGAAACGATTAATTCAAACTAACATATTTATCACTTCCACATACTTTCATTTTATTGTATGAGAACATTTAAAATCTCTTCTAAAAACTTCAAGTATACTTTTGGCCCTATGTTTCCATGAGTTCCACATTCAGGCATCCAACCAACTGGATAGAAACTATTAGGACAAAAAACCCACAAAAAATACAATAAAAGCAGTAAAAATAAAAAAAATACGTTATAACAACTATTTATAAAACATTTATATTTTATTAGTATTATAAGTAATCTATAGATGATTTAAAGTGTATGGAAGAATATGCATAGGTTACATGCAAATATAAAATTACATCATTTTATATAAGGGACTTGAACATCCCAGGATTTCGGTGTCCTTGGGGAGTCCTGGAACAAATCACCCCCCAGATATTGCAGATATTTAGGGACAATGGTATAACACATGACTATTAACTACAGTCACTATGTTGTACAGTAGATCTCCAAAACTTATTCATCCTGTTTAGCTGAAACATTGTACCTTTTGACCGATATCTCTCAATTCCCCTGGGTGGAATTTTCAATAGCTAGTCAGGAAAGGCCTCACTGAAAAGGTGATATTTGGTCAAAGATTTGAAGGGAGTGTGGGGGAAAGAAACATAAATATCTGGGAAAAGAGCATTCCAGGCAGAGGAGATGGCATGTATACGGGCCACAAGGCAGGAGCATGACTGCCATACTTGAGAGACCGTAAGGAATCTTCATCTTTTCCTCATGTCTTTCTCACCTCTAATATATTTAAATATGGCTTCCCCCCACCACACCCTTAAAATGGCCATTGCATAAATCACCAATAACATTTGTTTTAGTCCATTTTACATTGCTATAAAGGAATACCTGAGACTGAGTAATTTATAAAGAAAAGAGGTTTATTTGGCTCATGGTCCTGCAGTCAGTACAAGCGTGGCATCAGCATCTTCTTAGCTTCTGAAGCCTAGGGAAGCTTTTACTCATTGAAGAAAGCAAAGGGGGAGCAGGTGTGTCACATGGCAAGAGAGGGAGAAAGGTGGGGAGGGGGTTGTCCCACACTCTTTTTAACCAACAGATCTGATGGTAACTCTACTACGGGTAAAATGCAAACCCATTCCTGAGGGTTGGGTTGGATACCATCACCATCCAATGAGGGATTCACCTCCATAACACAGACACCTCCCACCAGGCACCCCCTCTGACACTGGGGATCACAATTCATCCTGAGATTTGGAGGGTACATTGAGTATAATGTGAGCTGTAGGCTTGTAATACATGGTCTTTATTGTGTTGAAGTATATTTCTTCTAAACCAACTCTGTTGAGAATCTTTTCATGAAACAATGTTGAATTTTTCAAATGCCATTTCTGCATCTAATTAGATGATTATATAATTTTGGGGCTTCATTTTGTTAATGTTGTATATCACATTTATAGATTTATGTATGTTGATCCACCTTGTATCCTTGGGGTAAATCCACTTGAGCATGGTAAGTTATCTTTTTAATGTGCTGTTGAATTCAGTGTGCTAGTATTTGATTGAGGATTCTTGCATCTATGTTCATCAGGGATATTGGCCTGTAATTTTTCTTTTCTTTTCTTTTTCTTGTTCTTGGCTGACTTTGGTATCAGAGTAATGTTGGCCATGTAAAAAAAGTTTGGAAGTGAAGTATTCCTTCCTCTTAGATTTTTTTTGGAAGAGTTTGAGGATTGCTAATTATTTAAATGTTTGGTAGAATACAACAGTAAAGCTATTCTGGGCTTCTCTTTGATGGGAGACTTTATTACAATTCAATCTTATTCATTTTTGGTCTGTTCGTACTTACTTTTTCTTCATGATTCAGTCTTGGTATCTTGCATGTATCTTGGAATTTATTTATTTCTTCTGCTTTATTCAATTTGTTACTGTACAATTTTTCATAGTACTCTCTTATGAGCTTTTTTTCTTATGAGCTTTTATATTTCTGTGGTATCAGTTGTAATGTCTCCCTTTTCACTTTTGATTGTATTAATATTTGAGTCCTTTCTCCTTTTTCCTTGGTCTGGCTAAAGGCTTGTTGATTTGTTTATCCTTCTGAAAAAAATACTCTTTATTACATTGGGTTCTTTTCTATTGTAGTTTTAGTCTCTATTCTGTTTATTTCTATTCAGATCCTTGTTATTTCTTTCCTTCTGCTGACTTTGGGTTTAGTTTGTTCTTTTTTTATTAGATACTAGAGTTGTAATATCAGGTTGTTTATTTTATATTTTCCTTTTTAAATTTTTATGGGTACACACTGACTGTATATGTTTATGGGGTACATGAGATATTTTTCTACGGGCATACGATGTATAATAATTACATCACGGTAAATGGGGTATCCATCACTTCAAACATTTACCCTTTCTTTGTGTTACAAACAATGCAATTATGCTCTTTTAGTTATTTTTAAATGTACTATAAATTATGTTTGGCTATAGTCACCTTGTTGTTCTATCAAATACTAGATCTTACTTATTCTATCTAACTGTATTTTTATGCCGATTATTCATTCTTCCCCTTAACCCTACTATTCTTCCATCTCTGGTAACCATTACTCTATTCTCTATCTCCATAAATCCAGTTATTTTAAGTTTTAGCTCCCACAAATAAGTGAGAACATGGAAAATTTGTCTTTCTGTCCCTGGCTTATTTTATTTAACATAATAACCTCCAGTTCTATCCATGTTGTTGCAGATAACAGGATCTCATTCTTTTTCATGGCTGTATATTACTCTATTGTGTATATTAACCACATTTTCTTTATTTATTCATCTGTTCATGGACACACAGGTTGCTTCCAAATCATGGCTATTGTGAATAGTGCTGCAATATGCATGGGAGTGCAGGTATCTCTCAGATATCCTGATTTCCTTTCTTTCGTATATATACCTACCAATGGCATTGCTGGGTCATATGGTAGCTCTATTTTTGTTTTTGTTTTTTTTCTGAGAAACCTCCAAACTGTTCTCCATAGTAATTGTACTAATTTACATTCCCACCAATAGTGGGTTCCCTTTTCTCCACATCCTAGCCAGTATTTCTTACTGCCTGTCTTTTGGATATAAGCCATCTTAACTAGGGTTAGATGATTCGTCTTGTAGTTTTGGTTTGCATTTCTCTGATGAGCAATGATGTTGAGCACTTTTTCACATGCCTGTTTGCCATTTATATGTCTTCTTTTGAGCAAGATCTTTTGCCCATTTTTAAATTGGATGATCAGATTTTTTCTATAGAGTTGTTTGAGCTCCTTATATATTCTAGTTGTTAATCCCTTGTCAGATGGATAGTTTACAAATATTTTCTCCTATTTTATGATTGTCTTTTCAACATCAATTGAAATGATCCTGTGGTTTTTGTTTTTAACTTTATGTGATGAATCACATTTATTGATTTGCATATGTTGAATCATCCTAGCATTTCTAGAATAAAACTCAATTGATCATGGTGAATTAAATTTTTAATGTGCTGTTGGATTTATCCAACACAATATATATAGATAAATATAGATATATATAGATATACATATATATAGATATATAGATATATAGATATAGATATATATATCCAACACAATATATATAGATATATATAATATATATATATATATATAGACTGGTTATTCACCTGAGGCCTGATGCGCACCTGGGGCCGAATGTCCCCCTCAGGGTGAATTCCACCTCAGGCCTGTACGTCCACCTGGGGCTTGATGTCTGCCTTAGATCTGTGTCCCACTGGGGCCTTGTGTTCACTGGGGACTGGTATCCAGCTGTGGCCTGATGATCTACTGCATCCTGTTGCTCACCTATGGCCTGGTGTCTACCTGGGGCTTTGTGATCACCTGGGAGCCAGATATCAACTTGGGGCCTGGGTGTCCACTTAAGGCCTGATGTGTGCCTGGGGCCTGATTGTCCACCTGGGGACTGGGTGTCCACCTGGGGTCTGATGTCTACCTGAAGTTAGGTATCTACCTAAGGCTTGGTGTCTACCTGTGGCCTGATGTCCACATGAGTCTGGGGTTCAGTTGGTGCCTGCTGTACATCTGGGACCTTGGTGTCTATCTGGGGCCTGATGTCTACCTGGTGACTCCTGTCCTGTGGTACCTGGGGGGGGGGGGCTTCTGCCAAATGGCCAGAGGCATCTGGGGTGAGGGATGAGCCTACAAGGGCGTCATCAGCAAAGAAAGGCTCTCACTTCTGCCATTCCTGAAGCCAGAGCCTGGAGATGTGGGGATGCAGCACAACATCTTGCTCTCTTGAGTGTCTCCCACCAAGTGAGCTGGCTACGGGGCTAACTCTAGGATGTGGGTGCCTGGTTATTGGAATTCTTTTCTTTTTTTTTTTTTTTTGAGACATAGTCTCATTCTGTTGGCCAGGCTGGAGTGCAGTGGCATGATCTCGGCTCAGTGCAACATCCGCCTACTGGGTTCAATCACTTCTCCTGCCTCCGTCTCCTGAGTAGCTGGGATTACAGGCATGAGACACACACCACGACACCTGGCTAGTTTTTTTGTGTTTGTTTGTTTGTTTGTTTGTTTGTTTTTTTGAGACAGAGTCTCGCTCTGTCCCCCAGGCTGGATGGAGTGCAGTGGCGAGATCTTGGCTCACTGCAAGCTCTGGGTCCTGAGTTCATGCCATTCTCCTGCCTCAGCCTCCTGAGTAGCTGGGACTACTGGCACCCACCACTATGCCCAGATAATTTTTGTATTTTTAGTAGAGACGGGGTTTCACTGTGTTAGCCAGGATGGACTCGATTTGCTGACCTTGTTTGTTTTTTGTATTTTTAGTAGACATGTGGTTTTACCATGTTGGTCAGGCTGGTCTCGATCTTCTGATTTCATGATCCTCCTGCCTCAGCCTCCCAAAGTGCTGGGATTACAGGTGTGAGCCAACGTGCCTGGCCTGGTTACCAGAATTCTTAGTTCTGTTAGGGTCTGTTGCCAAGGAAGTGAGGTCGCTTCTTTAAGTTTCCATCCCCTCGGCCTCCTCCTTCCAGAAAACTTTCTCAGGGCCCCAGTGGGCTGCTGACTGCTCACCCTCCCCACAGGTCAACTCCTTACCTGTACACAGTTATGTCCACCCAGGACCTGCTTGGACACCTGCACCTGATGTTCACCAGAGGCCTAGGAATCCACTTGCAGCCTGGGATCCTACAGGGGCCTAATGTTACCCTGCAGATTGGGTAGCCACTTGGAGATCAGGTATCAACCTGGGGACTGTGGTTGACCTGCAGGCTAATGTCCACCTGGGGACTGGTTATTCACCTGAGGCCTGATGCGCACCTGGGGCCGAATGTCCCCCTCAGGGTGAATTCCACCTCAGGCCTGTATGTCCACCTGGGGCCTGATGTCTGCCTTAGATCTGTGTCCCACTGGGGCCTTGTGTTCACCGGGGACTGGTATCCAGCTGTGGCCTGATGATCTACTGCATCCTGTTGCTCAGCTTTGGCCTGGTGTCTACCTGGGGCTTGGTGATCACCTGGGAGCTGGATATCAACTTGGGGCCTGGGTGTCCACTTAAGGCCTGATGTGTGCCTGGGGCCTGATTGTCCACCCGGGGACTGGGTGTCCACCTGGGGTCTGATGTCCACCTGAAGTTAGGTATCTACCTAAGGCTTGGTGTCTACCTGTGGCCTGATGTCCACATGAGTCTGGGGTTCAGTTGGGGCCTGCTGTACATCTGGGACCTTGGCGTCTATCTGAGGCCTGATGGCTACCTGGTGACTGCCATCCTCCTGAGGCCTGATATCCACCTGGGAATGGTTTATCCATGGAAATGGTTATGACCGCCTGGGGCTGCATGTCGCCCAGCGGCTAGATGTCCACCTGTGGACCCGTGTCCACGTAGTGCCTGATGTCCACCTGGGACATGGTTTTCACCGGAGACCCGGGTGTTTACATAGGGCCTGATGTCCAGCTGGTGCCTAGGTGCCCACCGGGGGCCTTGTGTTAACCTGGGGACTGGTATCCAGCTGGGTCCTAATGAACACCTGGGTTGAATTATTCACCTAGAATTTGGTATTCATTTAGGGCTTGAGTGTCAGCCTTGGACCTGGTGTCCACCTGGGCCTTGGGTATCAAACTAGGGGTTTGGTGTCCAGTTGAGACATCATGTGCACCTGGGGTCTGAGTGTTCACATGAGGCCAGATGACCACTGGGGGCCTGAATGTCAACCTGGTGTCAAATTCACTGGAAGCCTAGGTATCCACCTGGGGCCTGATGTCCACCTGGGACCAGGTGTCAATGTGTGGCCTGATGTAAACCTCTAGTTCAGTGTCCATCTTGGGCCTGATGTCCACTGGGGGACTGATGTTTACCTTTGATCTGATGTCCACCTGGAAACCGTGTATTCACCTATGGCCTGATGGTCACCTAGGGTTGAATGTCCAACTGTGGCCAGATGTGCACCCGGAACCTGGGCATCCACCTGGGGCCTGATGTTTAGCTGGGGCCTGGAGTTCACCTGAGGCATGATGTCCACCTGAAGCTTAATGTTCATCTGAGTGCTGGATGTTCACCTGGCGCCTGATGTCCACCTGGAGCCTGAGGACCCTTCTCAGGCCTGATGTCCACAATTGGCCTGGTATTCATCTGGGGCCTTCGTGTTAATGTGGCCTGATGTACTCCTGGGTTCTAGGGTCCTCTTGGGACCTGATGTCTACCAGGATCCTGGTATCCACCTGGGGCCTGGTATCCACCTAGGGCTTGATATTCACCTGGGGCCTAGGAATCCACTTGATAACTGGTGCCCATCAGGGTCCTGATGTTCACCTTGGGAACAGGTAACCACCTGAGGCTTGATGCCCACTTAGGGTATAAGTGTTTATCTGGGGTCTAGTGTTCACATGGGGCCTGATTTCAACCTTGGGCCTAGGTATTCACCAGTGGACTAGTGTTCAGCTGGGGCCAGATGTTCACTTGGGGCCTGGTGTCAACTTGAAGCATGGTTGTCAGCCTGGGACCTGATGTCCAGTCCAGTGTCTCCCTTGGGCCTATTTTCTAACTGGGGCCTGTGTGTCCACATAGACCCTGGTGTCAATCTGGGGCCTGGGTATTTACCAGGGGCCTGGATATTCATTAGTACATTATGTCTACTGGCGTCTTTGTGTCAATCTGAGCTCTGATGTCCACCTAGAGATTGGGTATCCACCTAAGGCCCGGTGTTTACATGGGGCCTGTAACATGAGGTTCCAGATGAACTCAGATGTCCACCTGAGGCCTCATGTCCACCTGAGTTCTGAGTGTTCACATAGGGCCTGCTGTCAACTTGGGACCTAAGTATTTACCTAGGGCTTGGGTGTCCACCTGGGGCCTGACTTCCAACTGGATCTTGTGTCAACATGGGGCCTGATGTCCACTTTGGGCCTAGGTAACTTCCTGATGACTAATGCCCACATGGCTCCTAAGGACCATCTGAGGCCTGGTATTAATTTAGAGACTGGTATCCATCTGGGGTCCAGGTATCCACTTGGGACCTGATGTTCACCTGGAGTGTAGGAATTCACGTGGGGCCTGGTGTCCACCTTGAGTGTGTGTATCCAACTGAGTGCTGGTGTCCACCTGGAGTCCAGTGTATACCTGGGGCCTGATGTACATATGGGACCTGGGCATCCATCTAGGACCTGATGTTCAGATAAGGGCTGGCATTCTCCTGGCCTGGTGTCCATATGGAGCCTGGGCATACACTTGGAGCCTGATGTCCCAGGTGGATCGCTGGGCCCCAGTTGTCATCAGATCCTAGGAAACTCTCAGGCCCCAGGTGCACATAAAGCTCCAAGTGGCCACCTAGGCCACAGGTTGATACACAGGGTCCAGGTGGACACTGGTTGCAAGATGAACACCAGGTCTCTGGTGGACACCAAGCCCCAGGTGTCTACCTAGTCCTCAAGTGGACACCAGGCACTAGATTGACACACAGGTACCAGGTGGACATCAGGCCGCAGGTGAATATCAGGCCTCAGGTGGTTGGGTTACTTATAGCATAGGTGGCCATCAGGTCCCAGGTCTATATCCACTCCCCACCTGAAAATCAGGATCCAGGTGGATACCCATGTCCTAGGTGAACACCAGGTTCCAAATGAACATCAGGCTCCAAGTGAACACACAGGCCCCAGTTCAATACCAGCCTTAGGTAGACATCAGGACCCAGGTGGACCCCAGGCCCAATGTGCATGCCTAGTCTCTTGGAATACATCATTTTCCAGGTGGACACCCAGATTCCTGGTAGACATCTGGTGCCAGGTGGATATCTGGCTGCAGGTGGACATCAGGCCCCAGGTGGAGACCCAGTACACAGGTGTAAATCAGGCTCTAGTATTTCATCAGGCCCCAGTTAAACACTTGACTAAAAGTGTGCATCAAGACCCAGGTTGACTCCCAGGCTTCAGTGCACACTAGGCCCAAAGTGTACACCCATGTCCAGGTGGGCATCAGGCCCAAGGTGTACACCAGAACCCACGTGGACATCAGGTTCCAGGTTGACACCAGTCTCTAGGTAGATCCTTAAGCCCCAATTGGTCATCAGGCCCAAGGTGGATACCTTGACCCCAGGGAGTCACCAGGTCCCAGGCCGGCCTCAGGTGGACACTAAGCCCTAGGTTAACACAAGGTGTGAGATGGTTTCAGCCCCCATGTGGGCTTTAATCATAAGGAGCTTACCTAGACCCTAAGTGGACATCAGGTCTCAGGTTGACACAATGAACCATGTAGAAGTCAGGCTCTAAGTAGACACCCAGGCCCTAGGTAAATACTTTGGTCCCAAGCCAATACCAGGCCCTATGTGGACACCAGGACTCCAGGCAGATGTCAGTCCCCAGGTGAACACTGAACTCAGGGTGGTCTTCAGGCGCTAGGTTGACACATAGGCCTCAGGTAGACAACAGGCATAGGTGAACTTCAGGCTCCAGGTGAACATTGGGCTCCAGGAAGAAGTCTGTGCCCCAATTAAACACCGGGTCTTAGTTAGACATCAGGCCTCAAATGGATGCCCAGGCCCCAGGTGGATATAAGGCCTCAGGCAAACACCAGGCCCCAGGTAGACATTAGATACGAGATGGACACTCAGGCCACAAATGAACATCTGTCCCCAGGTGGACATCCATCCCAAGGTGGACATCAGGCCAGAGATGTAAACCCAGGCCCCAGGAGAACCCCAGGCCCCAGGAGGACACTGAAGTGCCAGAAGGACACCCAGTCCCTAGGTAACTACAAGGCCTCAAGTGGACATGATGTTCCAGATGAATATGAGGCCCCAAGTGGATACTAGGCCCAGGTGGACCCCAGGTCTCAGGGGCACACCAGGCCCCAGGGGAACACCAGACCCTAGGTAAGCATGCAGTCCCAGGTGGACATCAGGTGCCAGGAGGACACCAGGACCCAGTTGGTCATCAATCCACAGCTGAACACCAGTTCCCCAAGAACACCAGTCCTCAGGTGGGCACCTAGTCCTCTCGTGTGCATCAGGTGCCAGGCTGACATAGGCACCAGCTGAACTCTGGGCCTCAGGTGAACATCAGATCCCAGGTTGTCACCCAGACCCCAGGTGAACACCAGGTTTTAGGTGGACACGAGGTCCTAGGTGGGTGTCTATGTTCCTGGTGAACCTCAGGCCCTAGTGGACACTCAGGCCCTTTATAGACATCTGGCTCCATGTGCACTCCCAGGGCCCAGGTAGACATGAGGCCCCAGAGGAACACCAGTCCTTAGTCATCTAAGACTGAATTCCCCTAGGGCTGGAGACTGAGTATTCACCTTGGGCCTAGGAATCTACCTGGGGCCAGATGTCGATCTGGGGCCTGATGTCTACTCAGGTTCAGCTGTCCACCTGAGGCGGGGTGGACCTCGACTCTGTCCCCACCCTGCAACATTGGGCCAGCTCAATCTCTGCCACCAGCTCCCTACATCGTCATCCCTCAGAGCCCTCGGGCGGGTTCCCCCTACCTAGTGTCTCTGGCCCCCACTCTCCACTCTCAGGCCTGACAAGCACGCAACCCCCACACATGTGTCTTCCTGAAGGCGTGGGTGTTGGGACCGCTGGCACAGAAGTCGCAGCTTAGCTACATGTGTGTCCCAGACTTGCTTCATCAATGGAGCAGTGAACCCGCTGCTTCTGTGGTACAGTCTCCTCCATTTCATGGGTCAGGTAGACAGGCTGCGTCCTCTTCACCCCCAGGTGTGCGCACAAACAGTCATCTCCACCTGCAATCCAGTCCCAGCTGAAGCTGCACGCTCTGCAACAGAGGCCTGTGCAGGACCTCGCTGCGCACACAGCAGGGGCTGCCCTCTGTCCCTCCCTCTCCCCTAAAGTCCCTGCCTGCCAGCCCCACGACCCACAGGAGGAGCCAGTCCCCTAGCCCAGGGAGCCAGGGTGGGTGTGGCCTGGGGACTTGGCGTGGCAAGCTGGCCCATAGGGTCGTCCCTAGCACCTACCAGAGCGCGTATGAGGGAGCCGAGGCTGCAGTGCCAGGTTGGCAGCGAGCTCCCTGGAGACCCATGCAGCGGGTCAGGTGCCAGCTGCGGCCAGGTCTGGGCGCGGAGCCGGGCCACCAGGGTGCGGCTTCCCGCTCTGGAGAGTTTATGGCCCCTGTCCTCGGACGGCTCCGCAGCCGCCAGGGAGGGACTGGAGGGACCGCGGCTGGGACAGGCTGCTGCATCAGGCGGCCCTGGACCGCCGCTTCCGCCCCTAAGCCGCCCTCGCAGCCCAGGCGACCGGTCGCCCTACCCAGGGAGCATCGCCCTCCTCAGCCGGGGCCCGAGCCCGGCGTGGGGGTTGCAGGCTGGCGCCACAGCCTGAGGACACCGCGACCTCTGCCCCCAGGAGCACGCCGAATGCTAGGTGGGGCTGCTGTCGCAGGCTGTGGAGCCGCAGCCCCGCTGGAGGGCAGGGTCCGGCTGGGCGTCGGGGTCCTGGCAGAGACCGCGGTGAGGGCAGGAGCAGGTGCACTGGCCGCTGCAGACGCGCCGCCAGGCTCCCGGACACCGCGGGCGCGCCCCTGGTGGCAGCCGGCTCCGGAGCCGCGGGAGGGCGGTGCCCAGTCCCCAGCTGGCGGCAGCGCGAAGCTCCTTCCCCGCTTGGGGGAGTGGGCGTGGACCTGCAGCCGGAGTGCCTTACTAACGAAAAAAGCTGGGATTGGAGTTGCCACGGGGGGAGGTGTGGGGGCCTAGGGGGCTCTGCCTGGACATTCTGGGTGTCCTCCTGCGACCTCAGGTTCCTCACCTGTCTCAGAGGACTGATGGGCTGCTGTGGCAGGGTTGTTTGGAGGATTAAGCCAGATAGTCCCAGTAAAGCCCCATTAGCGCCCCCTGGCCTCTGGATTATTATTTTTTATTATTTTTCTGGCTTTCTTAGGAAACTTTCCGGAATGCGTCCAGGTGTTGAAGCGGGAAGGCTGGACACCCTCCCTTGGCGTTGCGGTTCCTTCCAGACGCCCCCTCTTCTTAGGCTGTTTTCAAGGGCATGCCCGGCAACATGTGCTCTACCCAAGAGCGCTTCACAGATCTTCCTGTGGGTCTAAAACCAGAACGCTTTCTTCCCCGACCCCTGCTCCCGTATCACCCCAACCTCAAGTCTTTTGGCACAGCCGGCTACAGACTCGAGTGTCAGTTTAATGCTTGTTCCCTAAGGTCTCCCCAGGGCTCTTAGGACGGCGTCAGGATTAGGATTCGGGTTCGGGTGCGCCTCTTCGCGCCTGCGCCGGCGCTGGCAGGGGGAGGGCCTCTCTGCGCCTGCCCCGGCGCTGGGGGCCTTTGCAAGGGTGGAGCTGCGTTCTCTTCAGCACAGACCCGGAGAGCGTCGTGATGGCGGAGCTTTCTCCTCTGCACAGACTTCGGAGATACAGCGAAGGTGGAGCAATGTTCTCCTCAGCACAGACCTGGGCGGGTCGGGGGCACCGCGAGGGCGGAGCTGTGTTCTGCTCAGCACAGACCCCGGGGACACCGCGAAGGCAGAGCAAGGTTCTCCTCAGCACAGACCTTGAGGGCACTGCCTCGCTTTGGGACAACTCGGGGCCGCATCGACGGTGAATAAAATCCTTCCTGTTTGCAGCCCTGAATAATCAGTGTCAGAGACCAGTTAGAAGGGTTCAGTGTGGAAAACGGGAAATCAAAAGCCCCTCTGAATCCTGCCCACCGAGGTTCTCCCCAGCCAAGGCGAGGTGGCCGCAGTGCGAGATACATACCGCAGCCTCGGAAGACAAATGCAGCATTCCTAATGCAGACATGACACCCCCATTGCTCATGTAACAAGCACCTGTAATGCTAATGCACTGCCTCAATATAAAAATATTAATATAAGATCCGCAATCCCCTCACTGCCGTGCAGTCCTAAGACAGTGATCATAATAATCAACATTGACATAGTCAATACAAACGTAGTAACAAACCTAGGGTTAGGGGTTGGGGTTAAGTTTAGGGTTGGGGTGGGGGTCAGAGTTAGAGGTTGGGAGTCAACGTTTAGAGTTAGGGGTTAAGAGAGGTTAGGGGTTAGGGATTAGGGGTTAGGGTTGGGTTAGGGTGAGGGTTGGGGTTAGGGTTTAGGGTTAGGGGTTAGGGTTAGGGGTTAGGGGTCAGGGTCAGGGGTCAGGGGTCCCACTCTGTGGGTTGTCTATTTACTCTGCTGACTGTTCCCTTTGCCATGCAAAAGCTCGCTCTTTAGTTTAATTAAGTCCCAGCTATTTATCTTTGTTTTTATTGCATTTGCATTTGGTTTCTTGGTCATGAAATCCTTGCCTATGCCAATGTCTAGAAGGGTTTATCCAGTGTTATCTTCTAGAATTTTTATAGTTCAGGAATTAGGTTTAAGTTATTAATCCATCTTGAGTAGATTTTTGTATAAGGTGAGAGATGAGAATCCAGTTTTATTCCCCTATATGTGGCTTGCCAATTATCCCAACATCATGTGTTGAAAAGGATGTCCTTTCCCCACTTTATGTTTTTGTTCACTTTGTTGAAGATCAGTTGGCTGTAAGTATTTGGGTTAATTTCTGGGTTCTCTCATCTGTTCCATTGGTCTATGTGCCTATTTTTAAACCTGCTGACAGGAGGGTCCCATGGAAGTCTAGCCACCCCTCCCAGGTTGGTGCTCACAGCCCCTCCCTGGCCCACTCCCTCTACACCTGAACCTGCTGGTCTCTGGGAGAGGAGCATCCATCCATCTTGTGTGCATAGCTTTCTGCTCCATTTTCATGAGTTTTGTCTCCTTGGCAGAAATGCCCATTTGGTGATCCTGAGCCTGTGCTGGCTGTTCTCTAAGTGCCAAAGTCAGTGAGAGGGACTTGAAAACTCAAGAATTATTAACATTATTTTCTGCATTTTATGCTTTCAGGGTTGTTTTTTCCTTAAAATGTGTAAAAACAAATATTGAGGTTTCTATCTTTTATATAATTTGGATTCTGTCATCACATGGACTTTTCATTTTCCTAAAATTTATTTTTATGTATGTATATCAAACATTGAATTTCTCTTTTCTTCTTTACTGGAATTGTTAACTGTCTTAGAGGCCAAATCTTTTTTAAAAAATTCTCTCTAATCTCTGTAAACATTTCTAAATACATATGTATTTTCTATACCTAATACACTACTTTGGAATTCCTTGAGGCCTAATTGCATCGGGGTGCTCTGGTTTTGTTGTTGTTATTTCTGAAATACATTGACTTTGGTGCTCTTTATTTTGCGTATTTAAAACTATTAGATAGTGTGATTATATTTGACAGGTCTTAATTGATGCGCTGTTCAGCGCTTTGAGTTCGGTTGAGATTTGGGTCGGAGAATTTTCTTCCACAGGGGATTGTCTTGGATTTTTCTGTTTCTCCCTCAATATCCACCGGGAAAACATTTCAATTAATTTATATTCACTTAAATATTTCTGTGCAAAAACTGTGTACAAAAGCCCCAAAGTATAATTTGGGCAGTTGAGCCGATATTCTGTTGTCCAGCATTTATGGTGGTTTGTAGTGGAAAAGACTTTTTGAATATGTGAATTTTCAGGATATTACCAGAAGCCCAGATAGCCACACTTTACCTTTGGAGGAATTAATTCTCAGAATATTGCACACAATCAATTGCCTTTGGAAGGAGCACATATCCCCAGCAAAAGCTCTGGTTTTTTGAAGTCTGTATTGTGTGTTATTTCCAGGAGAATACGCAATGATGAAAATGTTATTAAATGATTCAAATATGAAATGCTGTTATGCCAAACAATGAATCTTTGTGTTATACATTATGCCTAACTATAAATCTTTGTGTTATACATTTTAATGTCATTGGAGAGTACTCCTGTCTTCTTGGCATTATTGATAATTAGATTCTAATTGCTAATAAGTCAGAAAAATTAGGAACACCAAATTTTAGTCTTCTCAAAAGCACTGCTCTTATTAAATTTGGATTTTTACCTTTATCACATCAAAAGTAATATTGTTAGAAAGGTGTTTAATGTTTCCCAGATGGATAGATTACTGTTATTAGTTCTTATTTCATTGTTAATTTTTAAAACCATAAAGTTGGAAGTATCAATATGCCTTTCAATATACCCTAGTGGAATTTATTAAATTTTCATGGATGACCTTTAGGAGGTTCAGGAAGTTATTTCTATTGCTAGATTTCTGGAAGATTCATCAGGAATGAGTGTCAGACATTGTCAGACATCCATTGAAATCCTCATGGTCTTTTCCTTTATTCTATTAATATGGTGTATTACACTGATTGATTTTTAAATTTGTATTTGTAAGATAATTCCACTTGGTTATATTGTCTAACTTTTTTCTAATTTTCTTTAATTTTTATTAGAGGTGAGGCCTCACTCTGTCCCCCAGGTTGGGGTGGAGTGGCACAGTCACAGCTAACTATAACCTCAAACTCCTGGGCTTAAGTGTTCCTGCCACCTCAGCCTCCTAAGTAGCTGGGACTACAGGTGTGCACTGCCATGCCAGGCTTGTCTAACATTTTTATGTGTTGCTTCCTCTAGTTTGCTAGAGTTTTTGGAGATTTCTGCCTTCATTCATGCGGGATTTATTTTATTTTTATTTATTTATTTTCTTGTGCTGCTTTTGTCTGATTTGTTATCTGGGTAATACTGGCCTCAAAAATGAATTGATGTTTTCCTGCTTCTCTGTTTTGCAAGTGTTTGTGAAGGATTGGTTATTCATTAAGTGTTTAATAGAATTCACTAGTGAAGCTATGTGAGCCTGGGCTAGACTGAAGAAGAGTTCTCATTAGTCTAATCTATTTACTTGCTGTATAAGTACGCATATATTCTCTTTCTTCTTGGTTTACTTTTACAATTTGTGTATAGCAGGGAATTTGTTTCTAATTTGTAGTATTTCATGCTTCTAGGTTTTTGTGGCAGTTGAGATGTAAGAATAAAAGTAATGTTGGGAGAAGGAAGTTGTGGACAATCCGTGAATATCCCAACATCTGTTGTAAGAAGGTTAAGATTTTTTTTTTTTTTTTTTGCTGTACTTAACTGAATACTCATATTTATAGTGTGAGACAAATGTAATGTTGCATATAAATAGAACTAGGAAAATGTGCCATTTGTCTTAGCATTTAATCAAGATGGAAGTCTGGGCCTACCTCCTCTCTTTTATTAATATGTAGACAGGACACCAACACACATTTGAATGAGGACAAACAAAATGTTAGCAAATGAAGAATGGTATTAATTGGTTAAAATGCGATGAAATAGAGTGGTGAATATTTACATAGAATCCATGATGTGTTAGGTGCTATTTCAAGCTATTTGCACATATAGCTTTCATACCAATGACACTAAAATGTATAGCACAAAGATTCATATACATAAAAATTACAACATTGAAAATAATATTAGGTGACACTAAAACTGTCATAGAAATACACATTTATATAAAACATAAAGTAACATCAAGTATTAAATAAATTTTAGAAACTTTGATTACTAATCAGATGAACAAGTGATTAACCTTTTTATCCAGTAAACAAAGCATACATCTTATTTTCAAATTCCAGAGACAAATATTTTAAATATTGAGGTTTAAGACCTAAAAATGTGTCACTGACTTCATGGAAGTAGATATTCACAAGGTGATATTTTCTAGGCTCTCTGAAATTACATCAGAAAAATGGGAATTAGAATATAACCCACAAATAATATCTGGCCACATACAAAGTAATTGAAGATCAATTTAAATAGCTATTGGATTAAGAAATAGAGACTGAGGTAAATTTACAGGGTCAGGGAGGATCTAAGGAGGAAGCATTGACACTGGAGCCCAAGGACCTGGGATTACAGAACAGATTCTACCAGTGCTAACTTACTGCTCCAGAGAAAACATCAATTCTGCTCTTGAACAGGTACTATTCATCAAGAAAGGGATTACAACTTCAGAAATGTTTTCAAAATGTATCCATACTTTGACTTATTCATGAAGTAATCACATTCTACACACAACTACTCCATATGGAATATTGGGCAGGGGGTGTTCCAAATAAAGAGACTGAGGATTTCTCATGAGAACTCAGTGTCTGCTAGAAAATATCTAAGTAAAATATTTTACTTATGTGGAAAGTATGGACGTTTGTGCATCAAAAGTTTCAAGAATCCCTAAAATGTACAATGGAGATGAGGAGAAAAAATCAGAATTTCCCAGCACCAGAAATGAGGTAAGAATAAATTCAGAGGAGTTGTAAATGTGAAAAGCCAATGGCTGGTGACACAGCAACATTGATAACCTTTCGCCAGGACAACTAGAATAAATACATAAACATACAGATTGAAAATATTTCCAATATTAGATCTCTCTCATGTGAGAACTAAATTATAAAGATTGAAGCATATAAGAAAAAAAGCTACCAGAATAAATTCGATTACACATAAATTTCTGATATTGAAATTGTCACAAATGTTTAAGTTGGTAGTGGAAGACAAAGGACATATAATCTTGGGAGTCCTAGGGCCCTGCCCACTGCCAGTCCCTCCACACTACTACAGCTGATGCTTTCTGGAAAGCACCACCTCCTGGCAGGAGGCCAACCAGCACAAATATAGAGCATTACACCACTAAAACTAAGGACCCTCACAGAGTCTATTGCCCCCTTCACCACCTCTGCTGGAACAGGTGCTGGTATCCACAGCTGAGAGACCCATAGATGGTTCACATCACAGGGCTCTATGCAGACAAACCCTAGTACCAGCCCAAAGCCAGGTAGACCTGCTGGGTGTCTAGACCCAGAAGAGAGACAACAATCAATGCACTTCAGCTCACAGAAGCCATGCCCATAGGAAAAGGGGGAGAGTACTACATCAAGGGAAAACCCTGTGGGACAAAAGAGTCTGAACAACAGTCTTCAGCCCTAGACCTTTCCTCTGACAGAGTCTACCAAAATGAGAAGGAACCAGAAAACCAGCCCTGGTAATCTGACAAAACAAGACTTTTCAACACCCCCCCCAAAAATCACACCAGTTCATCACCAATGGATCCAAACAAAGAAGAAATCACTGATTTATCTGAAAAAGAATTCAGGTTAGTTATTAAGCTAATCAGGGAGGGGCCAGAGAAAGGTGAAGTCCAATGCAAGAAAATCCAAAAAATGATACAGCAAATGAAGGGAGAAACATTCAAGGAAATAGCTTAAGTTAAAAAAAATGAAAATAAAAAAATAAAAAATCAGGAAACTTTGTGTGCACTTTTAGAAATGTGAACTGCTCTGGAAAGTCTCAGCAATAGAATTGAACAAGTAGAAGAAAGAAATTCAGAATTCGAAGACAAGGTCTTTGATTTAACCCAATCCAATAAAGACAAAGAAAAAAGAATAAGAAAGTATGAGCAAAGCCTCCAAGGAGTCTGGCATTCTGTTAAACGATGAAACCTAAGACTAATTAGTGTACCTGAGGAAGAAGTGAATTCTAAAAGCCAGGAAAACATATTTGGGGGAATAATCAAGGAAAACTTCCATGGCCTTGTGAGAGACCTAGACATCCAAATACAAGAAGCACAAATAACACCTGGGAAATTCATCACAAAAAGATCTTAGCCTAGGCACACTGTCATTAGGTTATCCAAAGTTAAGACAAAGGAAAGAATCTTAAGAGCTGTGAGACAGAAGCACTAGGTAACCTATAAAGGAAAACCTATCAAAGTAACAGCAGATTTTGCAGCAGAAACCTTACAAGCTAGATGGGATTGGGGCCCTTTCTTCAGCCTCCTCAAACAAAACAATTATCAGCAAAGAATTTTGTATCCAGCAAAACTAAACATCATATATGAAGGAAAGATACAGCCATTTTCAGACAAACAAATGCTGACAGAATTTGCCATTACCAAACCAACACTGTAAGAACTGCTAAAAGGAGCTCTAAATCATGAAACAAATCCTGGAAACACATCAAAACAGAACTTCATTAAAGCATAAATCACACAAGACCTATAAAACAAAAATACAAGTTAAACAGCAAAAACAAAAAACAAAAACAAAGTACAGAGGCAGCAAAGAGCAAGATGAAAGCAATGTTATCTCACTTTTTAATACTAATGTTGGTTGTAAATGGCTTAAATGCTCCACTTACAAGATACAGAACCACAGAATGGATAAGAACACACCAACTAACTATCTGCTGCCTTCAGGAGACTCATCTAACACATAACGACTTACATAAACTTAAGGAAAGTGGTAGAAAAAGGCATTTCATGCAAATGGACACCAAAAGCGAGCAGCGGTAGCTATTCTCATATGAGACAAAACAAACTTTAAAGTAACAGCAGCTAAAAGAGACAAAGACAGACAGTATATAATGGTAAAGGTCTCATCCAACAGAAAAATATGACAATCCTAAACATACATGAACCTAACACTGGAGCTCCCAAATTTATAAAACAATTACTAGTAGACATAAGAAATGAGATAGACAGCAACACAATAATAATGGGGGACTTCAATACTCCACTGACAGCACTAGACAGGTCATCAAGACAAAGTCAACAAAGAAACACTGGATTTAAACTATACTTTGGAACAAATGGACTTAACAGATATATACAGAACATTTCATCCAGCAACCACAGAATACACATTCTATTCAACAGCACATGGAATTTTCTCCAAGATAGACCATATGATAGGCCATAAAACGAGTCTCAGTAAATTTAAGAAAATTGGAATTGTATCACGCACTCTCTCAGATCACAGTGGAATAAAACTGAAAATCAACTCCAAAAGGAATCTTCAAAACCATGCAAATACATGGAAATTAAATAACCTGCTCCTGAATGAGCATTGGGTGAAAAACGAAATCAAGATGGAAATGTAAAAAATTTCTTTGAACTGGATGACACAACCTATCAAGACCTCTGGGATACAGCAAAGGCAGTGCTAAGAGGAAAGTTTGTAGCCCTAAACACCTACTTGAAAAAGTCTGAAAGAGCACAAAGAGACAATCTAAGTTCACATCTCAGGGAACCAGAGAAGCAGGAACGAGCCAAACCCAATCCCAGCAAACAAAGGAAATAATCAAGGTCATAGCAGAACTAAATGAAATTGACACAACAACAGCAAAAACAACAAATACAAAACATAAATAAAACAAAAAGTTGGTTATTTGAAAAGATAAATAAAATTGATAGACCATTAGCAAGATTAACCAAGAAAAGAAGAGAGAAAACCCAAATAACCTCACTAAGAAATGAAACGGGATATTACAACTGACACCACTGAAATATTAAAGATTATTCAAGGGTACTATGAACACCTTTTGGCACATAAACTAGAAAACCTAGAAGAGTTGGATAAATTCCTGGAAAAATACAACCCTCCTAGCTTAAATCAGGAAGAATTAGATACCCCAAGCAGATCAATAAAGCAAGCAGCAAGATTGAAATGGTAATTATAAAATTACCAACAAAAAAAGCCGAGGACCAGACATATTCACAGCAGAATTCTATCAGACATTCAAAGAATGTCTTCTTTCATTCAAAGAAGAAATGATACCAATCCTTTCACACTATTCCACAAGACAGAGAAAGAAGAAACCCTCCCTGATTCATTCTA
Source organism: Homo sapiens (assembly GCF_000001405.40). Taxonomy (NCBI): domain Eukaryota; kingdom Metazoa; phylum Chordata; class Mammalia; order Primates; family Hominidae; genus Homo; species Homo sapiens. The sequence continues at coordinate 15,501,902 of NC_000022.11, read as the reverse complement.
TGAAGCCAGCATCACCCTAATACCAAAACAAAGAAAGGACATAACCAAAAAAGAAAACTACAGACCAATATCCTTGATGAATGCAGATGCCAAAATAATTAACAAAATACTATCTAACTGAATCCAAAACATATCAAAAAGATAATCCACGATTATCAAGTGGGTTTCATACCAGCGATACAGGAATGGTTTAACATATGCAAGTCAATAAATGTGATACACCAAATAAACAGAATTTAAAAAAAACTCACATGATTGTATCAACAGATGCAGAAAAAGCATTTGACAAAATCTAGCATTGCTTTATGATTAAAGCTCTCAGCAAAATAGGCATAAAAGGGACATAGCTTAATGTAATAAAACGCACCTATGACAAGCCCACAGCCAACATAATACTGAATGGGGAGAAGGTGAAAGCATTCCCTTTGAGAACTGGAACAAGACAAGGAGCCTACTCTCACCACTCCTCTTCAACATAGTACTGGAAGTCCTGGCCAGAGCAATCAGACAAAAGAAAGAAATAGAGGAAATCCAAATTGGTAAAGAGGAAATCAAACTGTCACTGGTTGCTGACGATATGATCTTTCACCTTGAAAACCCTACGGACTCCTCTAGAAAGCTCCTAGAACTGATAAAAGAATTCAGCAAAGTTTCCAGATACAAGATTAATGGACACAAATCAGTAGCTCTTCTATACATCAACAGCTACCAAGCAGAGAATCACATCAAGAACTCAACCCCTTTTACAATAGCTGCAAAAAACAAAAACAACAAAAAACAAAACTTAGGAATATACCTAGCAAAGGAATCAAAAGACCTCTACAATGAAAATGACAAAACACTGCTGAAAGAAATCATAGATGGAGCCAAGCATGGTGGTGCATGCCTATAATCCCAGCTACTCAGGAAGCTGAGGCAGGAGAATCGCTTGAACCCAGGAGGCAGAAGTTGTAGTGAGCCGAGATCACACCATTGCACTCCCACCTCAGCGACAAGAGTGAAACTCCCTCTGGAAAAAAAAAGAAAGAAAAGAAATCATAGATGACACAAACAAATGGAAATGCATCCCCATGCTCATAGATGGGTAGAACCAATATTGTGAAAATTACCGTTCTGTTAAAAGCAACCTACAAATTCAATGCAATCCCCATCTGAATACCACCATCATTCTTCACAGAATTACAAAACAATTCTAAAATTAATACAGAACAAAAAGAGAGCCATGTAGCCAAACCAAGGCTAAGCAAAAAGAACAAACCTGGAGGCATCACACTACTTGATTTCAAACTGTACAATAAGGCCATAGCTACCAAAACAGCATGGTACTGGTTTTAAAATAGGCACATAAACCAATAGAACAGAAGAGAGAACCCAGAAATTCATCCAAATACTTACAGCCAACTGATCTTCGACAAAGTAAAAAAAAAAATAAGTGGGGAAAGACACCCTTTCCTACACATGATGTTGGGATAATTGGCGAGCCACATGTAGGGGAATAAAACTGGATTCTCATCTCTCACCTTATACAAAAATCTACTCAAGATGGATTAAGAACTTAAACCTAATTCCTGAACTATAAGAATTCTAGAAGATAACACTGGATAAACCCTTCTAGACATTGGCATAGGCAAGGATTTCATGACCAAGAAACCAAATGAAAATGCAATAAAAACAAAGATAAATAGCTGGGGCTTAATTAAACTAAAAAGCTTTTGCATGGCAAAGGGAACAGTCAGCAGAGTAAATAGACAACCCACAGATTGGGACTGCTAACCCTGACTCTGACCCCTGACCCTGACCCTGACCCTGACCCTGACCCATAACCCCTGACCCTGACCCCTAACCCCTGACCATAACCCCTAACCCCTAACCCTAACCCTTAACCCTTAACCCTAACCCCTAACCCTAACCCTAACCCTAAAACCTAACCCCAACCCTCATCCTCACCCTAACCCAAGCCCAACCCCTAATCCCTAACCCCTAACCTCTCAACCCCAACTGTAAATGTTGACTCCTAACCCCTAACTCTGACCCCAACCCCTATCTCCAACCCCTAACCCTAAACTTAACCCCTAACCCCTAACCCTAACACCAACCTTAACCCTAGGTTCCTTACTACGTTTGTATTGACTAAGTGAATGTTGATTATTATGATTGCTGTCTTAGGACTTCATGGCAGTGAGGGAATTGTGGATCTTATATTAATAAGAGCATTTTTTCATGTGTCTCTTGGCTGCATAAATGTCTTCCTTTGAGAAGTGTCTGTTCATATACTTTGCCCACTTTTCGATGGGGTTGTTTGTTTTTTTCTTGTAAATTTGTTTGAGTTCATTGTAGATTCTGGATATTAGCCCTTCGTCAGATGAGTAGATTGCAAAAATTTTCTCCCATTCTGTAGGTTGCCTGTTCACTCTGATGGTAGTTTCTTTTGCTGTGCAGAAGCTCTTTATTAATTATTTCCCATTGTCAATTTTGGCTTTTGTTGCCACTGCTTTTGGTGTTTTAGACATGAAGTCCTTGCCCATGCCTATGTCCTGAATGGTATTGCCTATGTTTTCTTCTATAGTTTTTATGGCTTTAGGTCTATCATTTAAGTCTTTAATCTATCTTGAATTAATTTTTGCATAAGGTGTAAGGGAGGGATCCAGTTTCAGCTTTCTACATATGGCTAGCCTGTTTTCCCAGCACCATTTATTAAATAGGGAATCCTTTCCCCATTTCTTGTTTTTGTCAGGTTTGTCAAAGATCAGATGGTTGTAAATGTGTGTTGTTATTTCTGAGGGCTCTGTTCTGTTTCATTGGTCTTTATCTCTGTTTTGGTATCAGTACCATGCTGTTTTGGTTACTGTAGCCTTGTAGTATAGTTTGAAGTCAGGTAGCGTGATGCCTCCAGCTTTGTTCTTTTGGCTTAGGATTATCTTGACAATGTGGGCTCTTTTTCGGTTCCATATGAACTTTAAAGTAGTTTTTTCCAATTCTGTGAAGAAATTCATTGGTACCTTGATGGGGTTGGCACTGAATCTATCAATTACCTTGGGCAGTATGGCCATTTTCACGATATTGATTCTTCCTATCCATGAGCATGGAATGTTCTTCCATTTGTTTGTATCCTCTTTATTTCATTGAGCAGTGGTTTGTAGTTCTCCTTGAAGAGGTCCTTCACATCCCTTGTAATTTGGATTCCTAGGTATTTTATTCTCTTTGAAGTAATTGTGAATGGGAGTTCACTCATGTTTTGGATCTCTATTTGTCTATTATTTGTGTATAAGAATGCTTGTAATTTTTGCACATTGATTTTGTATCCTGAGACTTTGCTGAAGTTGCTTATCAGCTTAAGGAGATTTGGGCTGAGATGATGGGGTTTTCTAGACATACAATCATGTCATCTTCAAACAGGAACAATTTGACTTCCTGTTTTCCTAATTGAATACCCTTTATTTCTTTCTCCTGCCTGACTGCCCTGGCCAGAACTCCCAACACCACGTTGAATAGGAGTGGTGAGAGAGGGCATGCCTGTCTTGTACCAGTTTTCAAAGGGAATGCTTCCAGTTTTTGCCCATTCAGTATGATATTGGCTGTGGGTTTGTCATAAATAGCTTTTATTATTTTGAGATATGTCCCATCAATACCTAATTTATTGAGAGTTTTCAGCATGAAGTGCTGTTGGATTTTGTCGAAGGCCTTTTCTGCATTTGTTGAGATAATCATGTGGTTTTTGTCATTGGTTCTGTTTATATGCTGAATTACATTTATGGATTTGCGTATGTTGAACCAACCTTGCATCCCAGGGATGAAGCCCACTTGATCATGATGGATAAGCCTTTTGATGTGCTGCTGGATTCTGTTTGCCAGTATTTTATTGAGGATTTTTGCATCAGTGTTCATCAGGGATATTCGTCTAAAATTCTCTTTTTTTGTTGTGTCTCTTCCAGGCTTTGGTATCAGGATGATGCTGGCCTCATAAAATGAGTTAAGACGGATTCCCTTTTTATCTATTTATTGGAATAGTTTCAGAGGGAATGGTACCAGCTCCTCCTTGTACCTCTGGTGGAATTTGGCAGTGAATCCTTCTGGTCCTGGACTTTTTTTAGTTGGTAGGCTATTAATTATTGCCTCAATTTCAGATCCTGTTATTGGTCTATTCAGGGATTAAACTTCTTCCTGGTTTAGTCTTGGGAGGGTGTATGTGTCGAAGAATTCATCCATTTCTTCTAGATTTTCTAGTTTATTTGCATAGAGATGTTTATAGTATTCTCTGATGGTAGTTTGTATTTCTGTGGGATCCATGGTGATATCCCCTTTATCATTTTTTATTGCGTCTATTTGATTCTTCTCTCTTTTCTTCTTTATTAGTCTTGCTAGCGGTCTATCAATTTTGTTGATCCTTTCAAAAAACCAACTCCTGGATTCATTGATTTTTTGAAGAGTTTTTCGTGTCTCTATCTCCTTCAATTCTGCTCTGATCTTAGTTCTTTCTTGCCTTCTGCTAGCTTTTGAATGTCATTGCTCTTGCTTCTCTAGTTCTTTTAATTGTGATGTTAGGGTGTCAATTTTAGATCTTTCCTGCTTTCTCTTGTGGGCACTTAGTGATATAAATTTCCCTCCACATACTGCTTTAAATGTGTCTCAGAGATTCTGGTATGTTGTGTCTTTGTTCTCATTGGTTTCAAAGAACATCTTTATCTCTGCCTTCATTTCGTTATGTACCCAGTAGTCATTGAGGAGCAGGTTGTTCAGTTTCCATGTAGTTGAGCAGTTTTGAGTGAGTTTCTTAATCCTGAGTTCTAATTTGATTGCACTGTGGTCTGAGAGACAGTTTGTTATAATTTCTGTTCTTTTACATTTGCTGAGAAGTGCTTTACTTCCGACTATGTGGTCAATTTTGGAATAAGTGTGGTGTGGTGCTGAGAAGAATGTATATTCTGTTGATTTGGGGTGGAGGGTTCTGTAGATGTCTATTAGGTCTGCTTGGTGCAGAGCTGAGTTCAATTCCTGGATATCCTTGTTAACTTTCTGTCTCGTTGATCTGTCTAATGTTGACAGTGGGGTGTTAAAGTCTCCCATTATTATTGTGTGGGAGTCTAAGTCTCTTTGTAGGTCACTAAGGACTTGCTTTTTGAATCTGGGTGCTCCTCTATTGGGTGCATATATATTTAGGATAGTTAGCTCTTCTTGTTGAATTGATCCCTTTACTATTATATAATGGCCTTCTTTGTCCCTTTTGATCTTTGTTGGTTTAAAGTCTGTTTTATCAGAGACTAGGATTGCAACCCCTGCCTTTTTTTGTTTTCCATTTGCTTGGTAGATCTTCCTCCATCCCTTTATTTTGAGCTTATGTGTGTCTCTGCTCGTGAGATGTGTCTCCTGAATATAGCACGCTGATGGGTCTTGACTCTTTATCCAATTTGCAGTCTCTGTCTTTTAATTGCAGCATTTAGCCCATTTACATTTAAGGTTAATATTGTTATGTGTGAATTTGATCCTGTCATTATGATGTTAGCTGGTTATTTTGCTCATGAGTTGATGCAGTTTCTTCCTAGCCTCGATGGTCTTTACAATTTGGCATGTTTTTGCAGTGGCTGTTACCGGTTTTTCCTTTCCATGTTTAGTGCTTCCTTCAGGAGCTCTTGTAGGGCAGGCCTGGTTGTGGCAAAAATCTCTCAGCATTTGCTTGTCTGTAAAGGATTTTATTTCTCCTTCACTTATGAAGCTTAGTTTGGCTGGATATGAAATTCTGGGTTGAAAATTCTTTTCTTTAGAAATGTTGAATATTGGCCCCCACTCTCTTCTGGCTTGTAGAGTTTCTGCTGAGAGATCAGCTGTTAGTCTGATGGGATTCCTTTTGTGGGTAACCCAACGTTTCTCTCTGGCTGCCCTTAATATTTTTTCCTTCATTTCAGCTTTGGTGAATCTGACAATTATGTGTCTTGGAGTTGCTTTTCTTGAGGAGTATCTTTGTGGCTTTCTCTATATTTCCTGAATTTGAATGTTGGCCTGCTTTGCTAGGTTGGAGAAGTTCTCCTGGATAATATCCTGCAGAGTGTTTTGCAACTTGGTTCCATTCTCCCCGTCACTTTTGGGTACACCAATGAAATGTAGATTTGGTCTTTTCACATAGTCCCATATTTCTTGGAGGCTTTGTTCATTTCTTTTTATTCTTTTTTCTCTAAACTTCTCTTCTCTCTTCATTTCATTCATTTGATCTTCCATCACTTATAAACTTTCTTCCAGTTGATCGAATCAGCTACTGAAGCTTGTGCATTCATCATGTAGTTCTCATGCCATGGTTTTCATCTCCATGAGGTCATTTAAGGGCTTCTCTACACTGGTTATTCTAGTTAGCCATTTGTCTAATCTTTTTTCAAGGTTTTAACTTCTTTGCATTGGGTTCAAACTTTCTCCTTTAGCTTGGAGAAGATTGATTATCTGAAGCCTTCTTCTCTCAACTCGTCAAAGTCCATCCAGCTTTGTTCCATTGCTGGTGAGGGGATGCATTGCTTTGGATGGGAGAGGTCCTCTGATTTTTAGAATTTTCAGCTTTTCTGCTCTTTTTTTTCCCCATCTTTGTGGTTTTATCTACCTTTGGTCTTTGATGATGGTGACCGACAGATGGGGTTTCGGTGTGGATGTCCTTTCTGTTTTTTAGTTTTCCTTCTAATAGTCAGGATCCTCAGCTGCAGGTCTGTTGGAGTTTGCTGGAGGTCCATTCCAGACGCTGTTTCCCTGGGTATCAGCAGCAGAGGCAGCAGAACAGCGAGTATTGCTGAACAGCAATTGTTGCTGCCTAATCATTCATCTGGAAGTTTTGTCTCAGAGGGGTACCCGGCCGTGTGAGGTGTCAGTCTGCCCTTACTGGGGAGTGCCTCCTAGTTAGGGTACTCGGGGGTCAGGGGCCCACTTGAGGAGGCAGATCTCAAACTCCATGCTGGGAGAACCACTACTCTCTTCAAAGCTGTCAGACAGGGATATTTAAGTCTGCAGAGGTTTCTGCTGCCTTTTGTTCAGCTATGCCCTACCCCAGAGGTGGAATCTACAGAGGCAGGCAGGTCTTCTTGAGCTGCAGTGGGCTTCACCCAGTTCGAGCTTCCTGGATGCTTTGTTTACATACTCAAGCCTCGGCAATGGTGGGCGCCCCTCCCCCAGCCTTGCTGTCACCTTGCAGTTTGATCTCAGACTGCTGCGCTAGCAGTGAGCGAGGCTCTGTGGGTATGGGACCCTCCAAGCCAGGTGCAGGATATAATCTCCTGGTGTGCCTTTTGCTAAGACCATTGGAAAAGCACAGTATTAGGGTGGGAGTGACCCGATTTTCCAGGTGCCATCTGTCACCCCTTCCCTTGGCTAGGAAGGGGAATTCCCTGACCCCTTGCACTTCCTGGGTGAGGAGTTGCCTTGCCGTGCTTTGGCTCACGCTTGGTGGGCTGCACCCACTATCCTGCTCCCACTGTCTGATGAGCCTCAGTGAGATGAATGCCGTAACTCAGTTGGAAATGCAGAAATCACCCATCTTCTGTGTCACTCACCCTGGGAGCTGTAGACTGGAGCTGTTCCTATTTGGCCATCTTGGAACTGCCCTCCAATCTCATATTTTTAGTTCTAGCTCAGATCTCTCCCATATCTCCAAAGTGGTATATCCAAGTCATGCAACACTTTCATTTGTATCTCTCACACTTAACATACCTAAAACTAAATTTCTAACCTTCATCCCCCAAATCTGTTCCACTCACAGCCTTTTAATACCTCAGTAAAGGTTGGGTGTGGTGCTCATGGCTGTAATCCCAGAACTTTGGGAGGCCGAGATGGGCAGATCACGAGGTCAGGAGTTCGAGACCAGCTTGGCCAACATGGTGAAACCCCATTTCTACTAAAAATACAAAAATTAGCCAGGCATGGTGGCAGGTGTCTGTAATCCCCGATACTCAGGGGGCTGAGGCAGGATAATCACTTGAACCTGGGAGGAAGAAGTTACAGTGAGCTGAGATTGTGCCACTGCACTCCAGCCTGGGTGACAGGGAGACTCTGTCTCAAAAAATAAATAAATAAAAAGAAATCCTATTGGTCCTACTTTCAAAAATGAACTAAACAGACACCCTACTACCTCAGAGCCTTTGCTCAATCTGTTCCTTTTGCCAGAAATGTTCTTTTCTAAGATAAATGCAGTTTATTCCTTCTTCTCCTTCAGATTTTCTCTCAAATGTCACCTTCTCCTTCAATCACACCTTGAACATTCCATTTAAAACTATAATCCTTCTCCCAGAGCTTCTAAACCTCTTTACCTTGCTCTATTCTTTCCTCCATACATTTTTATTACCTTTTAACATATTCTACTAAATTCTAATATGACATATCAATGTCCAGTTCCTGCTTTTAGAATTTAAACTCTATGAAGACAGAGATTATTCTATTCCAGCAGCTAAAATAGAGTCTAGCTCTTAACAGATACTATTAAATATTTAGTCCTAGTGTGGTGGCTCACGCTTATAATCCCAACACTTTGGGAGGCCGAGGTGGGTGGATCATGAGGTCAGGAGACTGAGACCAACCTGGCTAACATGATGAAACCCTGTCTCTACTAAAAATACAAAAAATTAGCCAGGCATGGTGGTGGGTGCCTGTAGTCCCAGTACTTGGGAGGCTGAGGCAGGAGAATGCTGTGAACCCGGGAGGTGGAGGTTGCAGTGAGCCAAGATTGCTCCACTGCACTCCAGCCTGGGTGACAGTGTGAGACTCCATCACAAGAATAAATAAATAAATAAATAAATAAATAAATAAATAAATAAATAAATAAAATAAAAAGATACCATTAAATATTTAACAAATTAATTGACTATAAACTAGCATCTATCCATTCTATTCATTCATTCAAGAAATATACATTGTCAGCTGGGTGCGATGGCTCACCTCTGTAATCCCAGCACTTCGGGAGGCTACTGGAGTTAGAAAGATCAATAAGAGGAACAGGTAAAGAAGGACCATTTATTAACTGTCTACTATGTGCCAAGCACACACATTATTTGTCAGAATCTAAAGTAAATTCTTCAAGGTTACATAGCTAATAAGTATTAAAATGAATTTCAAAAGTTAGTCAACTTGACTCTGAAGTCCACATTCACTCCACTATACCAGGCTGCTCCTTCATAAATTATACTAATCCCTGTCATAAAGCAAGATTTGATACTTGGCTATTATTATTTATCCCAAAATACAAATGTTTCTAATACTTTGGGATGCAATTTTACCTATTCCAGAATACATTGCAGAATCAAATATGGACTTTATACAGAGTATCAATTAGAGAATGTATGAAGAAGGCAAGGCAATCTTCTCAACTTATGACTTTAACACGTTCAAAGGTAACATCTTTTATCTGGACAGGATCTATTGCAGAATCAAGCCCCATTGTTGTCTGGAAGCAGACTAAAGGGAAGAAAAGAAATGCTTATATTTGATAGATTAATAACATTCCAATCACTTTACTTTTTAGATGCAAGAAAGCAAAGCCTAGAAAAATTAAATGTCTAAGGGAACTAACTTCACATATCAAATCAGAATGAGGAATATAAACTAGGTCTTCTGGGTTTCTAAACCATTTTCAAAGAGTAAGTGATTCACATTAAAAAGACATATTTCAGCTGCTCTGCCTATGGAGTAGCCATTCCGTTCTTTTATTCCTTTACCTTCTTAATAAACTTGAAAAAATAAAAATTAAAAAATACTAAGACATATTTGTACTTTCCAGTTAGTAAAATCAAAAATTATTTTCCACTTCTTATTGTAGTATCTAATGATAGAAATCTTAATTCAGCATTTCTCAATCTTTGGTGTGAATAAAAGTCACTTGAGAAATATGTTAAAATGCTGGTTCTCAGGCCATAACACAGAACTATGTTTGTAAATTTGAGAAAGGGCCCAGGAGAATTTGCATTTTTAACAAAAACTTAGATTATTCTGATATAACTGATCACAGATCTACACTTTGAAATATATTGCCTTAAAGTTAGCAGAAAATACTGACACACACTAATAAAAAATTGAGATTTGACCCATGGAAAGACTACACTTTCCATGTAGTCTTTTTCTTCTGACAACTGTTATTACTTGCCCTCAAATGACCTATCGGTTATGACATCATTAAGTACAACCAAGACAGAAAAAGTCTGACAGGACAGTAAAATATTTGAGATCAATTTTGGAGAACTATTACAAGGATTTCTTAAATCTTTCCCACTCAGAAACTTCCAAACTAGAGCAGTTATAAATGAGTAAATTGAGCAATTTCTATTTTCCTCAAAAGAAGCCCAAAAATACTTTTAAGATAGGCTGAAAAATGAGTTGGCAAAATACAGGGTTAAGAAGAAATCCTTAATAAATCAAGAACACAGAAGTTGGGAGAGCAAATTTAAAATAGTAATTCTAGAATGAACACTAATAGTTTTAGCCCACTAAAGTATTTTTTTAAATCTGTACATATCCTTAATAATAAAGAGAATAGAGAACACAGCGTGAAAACTGCATGGTGGTTGAAAAAGTAATTGGAAACACTTAAGTCTTACACTATTACTTCATTTCAGATAAGCAAACTATAAAAAAGAGAAACATTTAATGTAATTTTCTGAATAAATTGAATTTATTAGTTTATCTTTGAAATAGAAGGCTATTTCAGCTTGTATTGCTATTCTAAAATTCTTCCACATAATTTTTAAATTAATTAACTAATTAATTAATTTTCCTTTCACCCTGTTGATCAGGATAATTTTTAAATTTTATAACTAGACAGGTATCATTTTCTAAAAATCTGAGAAACTAACCACTACTAGGAGTGAAAGCCTAGCTTCTGGAACTATAAACATTAATATGTTCTTTCTTTAAGGTTTAGATTAAGCATTAAATAGAATCATGTATTTAAAGGAATAAGAAACTAACAAGTTAGATTAATAAAAATACTTTTACCAGATAAAATGGGTTTTTTAAAAGTCCGTAAATGCCGAATAGCAGCAGAAAGAAGAGAATCAGACAGGTTCGTCTTAGGGAATCTAGGAGAGAAAGAAAAAGCCTTACATCAAATAACATTAATGAAATATGACAGCTCAATGAAATGCAAATATTAGGTTATTGATAATCATATTTCATCACATGCAATTTTGGAATCTGGCATTCTTTTTCATAACTGCTATGATTTCCTGTAAGTATCCTATTATCAAAAACTTCATTAAGGCTGAGCATGGTGGCTCATGCCTATCATCCCAGCACTTTAAGAGGTCAATGCAGGAGGATCACTTGAGTCCTGGAGTTCAAGACCAGCCTGGACAACATGGAATGATTACATCTCTACAAAAATTAGCTGGACGTAGTGGCACATACCTGTGGTCCTAGCTACTCAGGAGGCTGAGGTGAGAGAATCACTTGAGCCCAGAAAGTTAAGACTGCTAGGAGCCGTGATTACACCACTGCACTCCTGGCTTGGGCAATGAAGCACAACTGTGTCTCAAAACACACACACACACACACACACACACACACACAAACAAAGAAACAAAAACCTTTGTTAAGCCACTCACACTTCCTGTTCTTCAATTTGTTTTCTCTCTTGAGAAAGGGAAACCATCAGCAGAATCTCCATTTCTACATAAGGTTACAAATATAGTGGAATTCAATCAATAGAAAGATGGATAGTCTTAGAAAAGTTACTTAAAACTTAAATGTAGGACTATGACTTCCTTTCAGTTATTCTTCTCAAACATGGACAGTTTCAAATCAACTTACTACTGTTTTTTTTTTGAGAGTGCTTGAGCTTTCAGAAAACCTTCTGCAAACCCAGTTTTCAATGCATTTTGGTGAGCTTCAGGTATGTTTTTGGTTTTCATGAGTCTGTCCAAACTCTCAACATCTGATCCTCTGTCCCGCAAAAGAAACCCGTGAATACACAAACAACACATCAATACTGGTTAACGACACAGTGACATTTCCCAACAATATTGTGACCACTCAAATAAATTCACTAAAATTCTATAATTTTTACTGTCAATGTGAAGAAATGGATTAAGACTCAACAATGAATTAATCAATAACTAGGAAACTAACACTAGATCCTATTCCTGCGTTAATCAATTAATAGTATCAAGAAGGTGGCATTATTCTCTGCAAGAATACTATACTGAAAAGAGGTCACATGTTATCTTAGAGTTTGATTGGCTTAATATTCACATCCCTTTATCTCTGCTAGAGGAATAATTTCATTAATTTACTAAATGTCTACTAAGCAGCATTCACATACTTGGTCTTATATAAGTTCTGAAGATGTGGCCAGGCGTGGTGGCTCACACCTGTAATCCCAGCACTCTGGGAGGCCAAGGCAGGCAGATCACGAGGCCAGGAGATCGAGACAATGCTGGCTAACTGGTGAAATCCTGTCTCTACTAAAAATACAAAAAATTAGCTAGGCATGGTGGCAGGCACCTGTAGTCCCAGCTACTCAGGAGACTGAGGCAGGAGAATGGCATGAACCCGGGAGGTGGAGCTTGCAGTGAGCTGAAATCGAGCCACTGTACTCCAGCCTGGGAGATAGCACAAGACTCCGCTCAAAAAAAAAAAAAAAAGGTTTTGAATATGTAAATATAAATAAACCACTGGTCTTAAAGTTTTCAGTCTGTTGGAGAAACATATGTAAATAGCTAAATTTCTTAAATCATTTAGATATTATATTAGAAGTATTAGGTATGCTACCTCAGGAAGACAGGAAAGGTATTATAGAGAATACGACATCTGAAACACCACTATACAAATTCCACTATATTTGTAACTTACTCTATGTAGAAATGGAGATTCTGCTGATGGTTTCCCTTTCTCAAGAGAGAAAATAAACACCATGAACAATTTGACAGGGGTATGGAACAATTAGCCTTCAGTGCTCAAGATCTACCAGCAAACTTACATAAGACTTCAATGCCAAAAGAAGAGCAAGAAACAGAGGGGCATATTGAATGGCGAGAAGAGAAACATGGCAGGTAGAGACCAAATGATGAAATTCCCAGTATATCAGGTAGAGGTAAGAAATAAAGTAAAGTAATGTAACTAGATCATCATTTTAGAAGGACTGATGGGTGGCAGTCTGGAGGTGCGACTGAATGCAGCAAGACTAGAGGCAAGGAGACTAAACAAGTATTCATTAGAGTAATTTAGGCAACAAATGGTTATAGCCTATCTATGGCAGTGGGACAGATTTAAGAAAGATTTAGGAGATTGGGTCAACAGGACTTTAGTGGTTAATGGATGTGGGAGGTGAGGCAAGATGGACAAATGTAGGTTGGTAGCCAGGTTTTTAGCTTGGATGAATGCTGTTCATTAATGCAGAGAACACCTAAACAGGTGTAGGTTTGTGGGAAAAAAATCTAGTAAGTAGAGAGGCAAGTCTGGTGGCCAGAAGAGTTAGAGGTATAATGATGACACAGGTTACTAATCCCTTATTGTTAGTGGAAAGAAGGAAAAAAATCTATCAGCCAACGAAAGAAATCAGATGTTGAAGCTCCTCATTGCTTGTTTGTTTGTTGGTTTGTTGTTTTTTGTGTTTTTGTTTTGAGATGGAGTCTCACTCTGTCACCAGGCTGGAGGGCAGTGGTGCAATCTTGGCTCCCTGCAACCTCCACCTCCCGGGTTCAAGTGATTCTCCTGCTTCAGCCTCCCAACTAGCTGGGACTACAGGCGTCTGCCACCACGCCCGGCTAATATTTTGTACTTTTAATAGAGACAAGGTTTCATCATATTGGCCAGGATTGTCTCAATCTCTTGACCACGTGATCTGCCCGCCTTGGCCTCCCAAAGTGCTGGGATTACAGGCATGAGCCACCGCACCCAGCCAAATTAAACAAATTTAATTTGCACGCCTCCTGACCAAATAAGATCCTTAAAAGATGTTTATCTAAGAAATTAAATGTTTACTTCATTGAGACTTCTCAAAAGTTTTGTTGGATCTGCTGTAAATTAAATTTAAAAAGCTGTTGAATGAAGTATATAAAATAACTTAAAGTTGTGTTCCTATAGACAAAGGCAATTTTTTTTTATTGTACCATTTAATCTAAAATCAGTCATGCTTGGTACATGTTACACTTTCTTTCATAAATGTCAACAGGTCACGTTTTCAAAAGCATTGCTATTCAAATGTAGCCAATAAAATGCCTACTACTTTATTTGGCTTCTTCTTTTTTTTTTTTTTTTTTAGACGGAGGTTCGTTCTGTTGCCCAGGCTGGAGGGTAGTGGCGCGATCTTGGCTCACCACAACCTCCAACTCCCGGGTTCAAGCAATTCTCCTGCCTCAGCCTCCCGAGTAGCTGGGACAACAGATATGCACCACCATGCTCGGCTAAATTTTGTATTTTTAGTAGAGACGGGGTTTTATTATGTTGGTCATGCTGGTCTTGAAATCCTGGCCCTGTGATCCGCCCACCTTGGCCTCTCAAACTTCTGGGATAAACAGGTGTGAGCCACTGCTCTCGGTCCATTTTCATTTTTCAATAGCATGTTCTTTAGACATCAATGTTCCATTTCTTTTAAAATTTGAGAACATAGAGGAGGCATATTTCAAAAAGAGTTATACATGGTATGCACCATCAGATTGAGCCTCATCATGATATCTACTCATATCTGAGCACCAAAACTCACCAGTGGTTCTCTATTTTTGAACAAACCGATTATTTGTATTGAGTCTTCCTCATCGTCAATATCTTCAGGCATAGGAGGCAACATAGGGTCATAATTCTTCTGAGCCACACTACTACGTACAGAAAGCAAAGCCTGTAACATTCAAAGGTTGATTTAAATATATATATATGAAATATATCATTTCAAACACATCAAACTATAAAGAAAATCAAAACAGCATTACAGTTTTGACATAGTAGTGGTAATAAGGCAGTTACTTGAACAGGTGCCTCTTACAAATGGAATGGGAAAGAGTGCTTGTCCAGAGAGCAGATGGCAGCTCTACTTAGCAGCCACCTCTGTCCCCAATGTCACTGATGTATGTAAAGAATTAACATATGATCTCCTCTAACCTGTACATTCTCTGTTTTATCCTTATAAGGGTATCAATTTGGGGCAAGAGTGCAGGGGATGTTATTTTTGGAGGAAGGGAGAACATGAGGGCTAAAGATGCACTGTCAATGAGAGTATGAGAATATTCGATATTTTTTTCTTTCCTACGATTTTTTCTCCTATTACCAGAAAACACAACAATGATCAATATGATGGATTCTTTTTTTCCCCCTCACTTTAATTGTTTGTGTAATTGGTGACTACTATGTGTATAAAATAATAAAAGTAATTCTGGACCAAAGATGAGGAGAACACCAGAACTTTGACATGTCAATATTCACTATTCACTATTTTAGATGAGTGGGTTTTGGACTTTCAATGAACTTGACCCCTAATAAGCAACACCACTCATTTTTCATAAATTACTCAAACCAAAAACCTAGAAATCATCCTTGATTCCTCTCCTCTTACTGACATTCCCAACATCCAATATATATTCTATTTTTAAAAAACTTTTTTTTAGACACAAGATCTATCTCTGTTACATATGCTGGAGTTCAGTGGTGGGATGATAGCTCGCTGCAACCTCAAACTCCCAGCCTCAAGCGATCCTATTTCCCCAGCTTCCTGAGTAGCCAGGATTACAAACGCATGCCCCAATGCCCAGCTAATTTTTTAATTTTCTTTTTTTTTTCGATAAGAGTCTCACTCTGTCACCCAGGCTGCAGTGCAGTGGCATAATCTGGGCTCACTGCAACCTCTGCCTCCTGGGTTCAAGCAATTCTCTACCTCAGCCTCCCAAGTAGCTGGGATTACAGGTGCCTGCCACCACAAGCAGCTAATTTTTTGTATTTTTAGTAGATACAGGGTTTCATCATCTTGGCCAAGCTGGTCTTGAACTCCTGACATCATGATCCACCCACCTCGGCCTCCCAAAGTGCTGGGATTACAGGCAAGAGCCACTGCACCTAGTCCATATCCTATTAAATCTACTTCCAAAATATACCTAAATTTTTTCTTTACTCTAGATCAGAGATTGGTAACTACAATATCTGTTTTTGTAAATCAGGTTTTACTGGAACACAGCCATACTTGTTCATTCATGCATTGTTTATGGCCGCTGTCATGCTACAATGGCAAAGTTTAGTAGGTAGAACACACACTTCTTACATAAAAAGCTGGCAGGTCCCTGGTCTAGATCATGGATGCCATCATTTTTTGCCTGGAGCACTGCAGTAGTCTTTAAATGGCTCACTGGAATTCAATTCTGGTCCATTTTCAAGTCCACAATTCACAGTGTAGCCAGAATAATTATTTTTAAAACTTAATTACTCAATTAACCCCTTAAGAGCCCTTCTAAAGTTGCCCATCAATCTTGGGATGAAGACTAAACTCTCCAGGATGTCCTAAAATTCCTGCATGTCTCTCCAACCTTATTTTACACTGCGCTCCACCTCACTCAACTTGAACAACTCTTTCTCATAGAGGTCTGGCCAAAACATCTCATAAAAGCAGATCTCTCAGTGACTCGATCCCATAGCACCTTGTTCTTTGCCTTCATACATGTCCATAATTTATAAGCATATGTGCATTTTTATGTTTATATCATTAATATTTGCTGTTTACTGAAATGGAAGTTCTAAAATGGCAACTAGTGTCAGCTTTAAATCAAACTTTTGTATTGACTATAACATATACAAAAAGTACAAATCATAAGTTATAGTAGAAAGAAAAGGGGGAAATGTGGGGAAAAGAAAGAGATCAGATTGTTACTGTGTCTGTGTAGAAAGAAGTAGACATAGGAGCCTCCATTTTGTTCTGTACTAAGAAAAATTCTTCTGCCTTGAAAAAAAAAAGAGTCTTTTGAGGCATAAAAAAAATTTCAAACATGAATATGCCCACATAAACAACCCCCAAACAAGAAATACAGCATTAACCAAACTACAGTGGCCCCCACTTATGCTCCTTCCTAGTCATCATGCCCTCTATACCCAACAAGGTGTCAATCTTTGCCTCTATTTGAAAATTATATAATTAGGATTCCAATTATATAATTCATTATATAATTGCTGTTAGGAACAAGCCCCCCAAAATCTGGCCATAAACAGGCCCCAAAACTGGCCATAAACAAAATCTCTGCAGCACCGTGACATGTTCATGATGGCCGTAATGCCCACGCTGGAAGGTTGTGGGTTTACCGGAATGAGAGCAAGGAACACCTGGTCTGCCCAGGATGGAAAACCTCTTAAAGGCATTCTTAAGCCACAAACGATAGCATGAGCCATCTGTGCCTTAAGGTTGTGCTCCTGCTGCAGTTAACTAGCCCAACCTATTCCTTTAATTCAGCCCATCCCTTTGTTTTCAATAAGGGATAATTTTAATTAATTTAATATCTATAGAAACAATGCTAATGACTGGCTTGCTGCTAATAAATATGTGGATAAATCTCTGTTTGGGGCTCTCAACTCTGAAGGCTGTGAGACCCCTGATTTCCCAATTCACATGTCTATATTTCTGTGTGTGTGTGTCTTTAATTCCTCCAGTGCCGCTGGGTTAGGGTCTCCCCAACAGAGATGGTCTCAGCAATTGTATAATGTACATTATATAATTATATAAAAATGTGCATTCATTGCCCAGGCATGGTGGCTCACGCCTGTAATCCCAGCACTTTGGGAGGCCGAGGTGGGTGGATCACCTGAGGCTGGGAGTTCAAGACCAGCCTGACCAATATGGAGAAACCCTGTCTCTACCAAAAATAAAAAAAATTAGCTGGCATGGTAGCATGTGCCCGCAATCCCAGCTATTTGGGCGGCTGAGGCAGGAGAATTGCTTGAACCCATGAGACAAAGGTTGCAGTGAGCTGAGATCACACCATTGCACTTCAGCCTGGGCAACAGGAGTGAAACTCCATCTAAAAAAATGTGTATTCATTTATTCCAATATTAAGTTAGTGAAATTCACCCATGCTGTTACTGATGGTAGAAGTAATTAATTTTCCTTCTTATATAGTATTCCAACATATAAATATCTTAGTTTTCCCATTTTGCCTTTGAGGGTCATCTGGGTTGTTTTTAGTTCTTGGCTAATATAAATAATTCTGGCATAAATGTTTCATATCTTTTGATGAACATATATATATATATATATATATATATATAATGTTAGTTAAGTATATTTAAGAGTAGAACATAAGTATATTTAAGAGTAGAACATCTGGGTCATGGGTTATATAGTAAGTACATTCAACATTAGTAATGTTTTTCAATTATGCTTCCACCAACAACATATGTGAGTTCTAGCTGTCTAACATGATCCCAGGCATTTTATATTATTCGTTTAAATTTGGCCGTTCTGAATGTATAGTGGTATATTCTGTGGTTGAAATGATCATTTGCCTTATAATGAATGAGACTGAAACCATTTTGTGTTTATTGGGCATGTGTGTCTCTTTGTGAGATGCCTCCTCAAGATATTTGCATGTTTTTCTGTTGCATCTGTCTTTTTCTTATTAATTTGTAAGAACTATTTATAATATACTGGACCCAAGTTTTTGTCAGTTATATGTACTACAAATACATTCTCCCTTTTGGTAGCTTGCCCTTTCACTCTCCTTCTTGGTGATTTTTGCTCAATAAAGGATCCTAATTTTAATGACCTCAATTAATGTTTTTTCCTTTGTGGTTCATGCTTTTTGTATCGAATAAGACTTTCAAAGTGGAAAAAATAAACAACATCAATGTGGTAAAATACCTAAGAAGATAATGTCTGTAAATCTTTGAGAACTGATGAGAGAAAGACTCTAAAGTTTCAGGAAAAATATATCAGGAAGCCTGATATATCCTGCAGGAACAAGGAAAAATAAAAAGAAACCTATGCTTACTACATCATAGCAGAACTGCAAAATGGCAAAGGCAAAGAGAAGATCTTAAAAGTGCTCAGAGCAAAAAAGACAGATCATCAGAAAGGAAAGAAGAAAATTGATTGACAGTTGAATAACAGCAGCAGTGGACACCAGAAGATAGTTCAAATACTTTCAAAGTGCTTAGAAAAAACAAAAGCCAGTCCAAAATTGTGTATCCAGCAAAAGTATCTTTCAAGAATAAGGATGAGGACCAAGATGAGGTTAACAGGGATCCACCTGAAAAAACTAAAGACTAAAAATAAATAAAAATAAAGGATAATGAAACAATAGTTTTCAAATATACCGGACATTAAGCAACAAGGGGCAGAGATTTTTGAGAGACAGGAAGCAATGTGAACCTATGATTGCACCAGCATTACAGCCTAGAGTTTCCAGGCTGTGATGGGGAAAAAGAAACATAGGCAAAACTCAGTGGTCTCCTTGAGATGAGAAAACAGAGCTGAGAATCCAGGGAGGTCAACAGACTAAAGTTCTCAGGGAAGCCTATAGAAGAGGAAAGGGGGGCAGATACAGAATTTGGGAGATGGTAGGAGGTCTCACTTGAGTCCTGAGCAGTCTTTAGCCATGGCATGCATATAAGAAAACCATGAGAAAGGATTAGAGCAGTGGTTCTTAACTGAGAGCAACTATACTCGCTTGGAGCCACTGGCAATATCTGGAGACATTTTTTGATTGTCACAATTTAAAGGATGTCACCACCACCTACAGTACTGAGGCCAGGGATGCTCCTAAACATCTGATCATATACAGGACAGTCCCCTCCCCTCTAGAAACAATTATCCAGCACATAAATGTCAATAGTTCTAAAGTTGAGAAACTGAATTACAAGGAATAATCCCTGAAGTTAGCATAGGGAAGAAATAGCTGTTTTTATCATCAGTTAGCAGGAAAAACTTCATAATTCATAGGCACTGAGAAGAGTTATGGATTGGGTATTGTCTCAATAGTGGAAAAAATAAGCCCAAGATTTAATGCTGCTATGATCTCACCTAAAAAATAGGTTTAGGGTCAAGCGCAGTGGCTCACACCTGTAATTCTAGCACTTTGGGAGACTGAGGTGGGTGGATTGCCTGAAGCTCAGGAGTTCAAGACCAGCCTGGGCACATGGTAAAACCCCGTGTCTACTAAAAAATACAAAAAAATTAGCCAGGCATGGAACTGGGCACCTGTAGTCCCAGCTACTCCGGAGGCTGAGGCAGGAGAATCACTTCAACCCAGGAGGCAGAAGTTGCAGTGAACCGAGATCACACCACCACACTCCAGCCTGGGTGACAGAGTGAGACTCTGTCTCAAAAAATAAAAAGGAAAAAAAGCTTAAAAATAAGCCTCTGAAAGATCAAAATGTTTCCAAGTAATTTAACTGTATAACAAAATGAAGCTCAACAATACTATCTATAGCAGGGGTCTTCAACCCCAGGCCACAGACCAGTACCCATTAATGGCCTGTTAGGAACCAGGCTACACAGCAGGAGGTAAATACTGGTGAGCAAGCAAAGCTTCATCTATATTTATAGTTGTTCCCCATCACTTGCATTACTTCCTGAGCTCCACCTCCTGTCAGATCAGCGGCAGCATTAGATTATCATAAGATCATGAACCCTATTGTGAACTGAGTATGCGAGGATCTAGGTTGCATGCTCCTTATGAGAATCTAATGCCTGATGATCTGTCACTGTTTCCCATCACCACTACATGGGATCATCTAGTTGCAGTGAAACAAGCTCAGGGCTCCCACTGATCCTACATTAAGGTGATTATGTAATAATAATAGAAATAAAGTACACAATAAATGTAATGCACTTGAGTCACACTGAAATCACTCCCAGACCCACATCTGTGGAAAAATTGTCTTCAATGAAGCTGGTCGCTGGTGCCAAAAAAGTTGGAGAAGGCTAATATACAGAAACACAAAAATTCCCAGCATCCAACAAGATAAAACTCATGGTTACTGGTAGTCGATCAATATAAAACTCACAATGATTCAGAATTACTAGGTATGCAAAGAAAACAGAAAATACTGCTCCTAATGAAGGAAAAAAAAAACAATGAAACCAAACCCTGAAATTACACAGATGATAAACCAGACAAAACCAAACCCTAAAATTACACAGATAGCAGACAAGAATACTAAAACTTATTATTATAACTATATTTCAAATGCTCAAAAAAGTTAAGGAAAGACTAAACATGAGATATAGAATATATAAAAATTACTCAAATCAAACTTCCAGAGATGGAAAGTATGAAATAAGAAAAAAGTACGCTGGATGAGATTAATATAGCTACTGCAGAAGGAAAAGTAATCTTGTAGAGTAAGCAACATAAGCTGTCTAAAATGAAACACAAAGAGAAAATATACTGAGAAATTATGAACCGGGCTTAGTGATCTGGGGAACTACTTTAAATGGCCTAATATATGTGTTAACTGGCATCTCCAAAGAAAGGGGGCAGTTGCTGAAAACTATTTAAAGAAATATGGCAGAAAATAGTCCAAATATGATGAAAAAACTATAAAACCACATGTTCAAGAAACTCAATGTACCCACACACACAGAAAACATACAATACCACTAAATTGCTTAAAACCAGGAAGAAAATATTAAAATCATCCAAAGGAAAAAAACACATTATATATAAAAGAATAAGGATTAAAAACTACAGCACACTTCTCATCAGAAACAATGTGGGCCACAAAACAATGGAGCAATATCTTTAAAATACTCAGAGAAAAATACTGTTGACTTAGAATTCTATACCTAGCAAAAATATCTTTTAGAAATGAAGGGGTATTGAAAACTTTTTAAAGATATGCAAAAGCTAAAAGAATTCATCACCAGCAGACTTGCATTGCAAGAGATGTCACAGAAAGACTTCAGATGGGAGGAAAATGTTGACAGATGGAAATGTGAGTACATACAGAGGAATAAAGAACACTGGGAATGCCTACTATCTTTGTATCTATGGCAACTATCTTGTACATAGTAAAATAGAGATAGCTGAATAAAATGTTTTTAAATAAAGCAATTTTGATAATTGACAGGCAATATTAAGAACATCAGCTAAATATTTTTTTCTCCTTAGCTTTGTTCCATGTCTACATTCCAAAACAATTTCATAGGCATTATTTTCATAATTTTAATTTATTTTACAATTATTGTTGAATAGCAACATTTTTAATTTTGGACAACTAAAACAAATTTTTCATTCTATTATCCTGTTTTAACTGAGTTGATTTTATTCTTTAATATACAGACTTGCCTTTCAAAAGGCAATACTTAAATGGAAATTTTATTTCCGCATGCCAGAACCACCAATCACAACTGACGGTTTACCTGTTGCTCACAAGAATCTGCAGGAAATTGAACCCTAGGCCTTGCAACTCATTGGACTCACAAACACTCACTGCACTGGACCCCCTGGGGTCAACTTTATGTCATAAGTATCTGTCAGGTTCACAGAATTAAGTGTCCAGCTTATAAGGATGAGTAACATTGATTTATCCCTCCAGAAGGAAGCTTAACTTTTTCCTTCAGTTTGCTTTAATGAAGCCTCATCCATCTTGCATGCTCAGGCAGTGAGTAATTTCTGTTAAGTGAATTTTTGGAAGCTAAAAATTACAACAAATCTTCTCATTTTATTGCCTTTTAAAAAAATCTACCAAATTTTCCCTGACTTCCAAAATTATAATGCTGTATTCTAGAGATGATGTCACTTCATTGTTTCATCAAAAGTGAGCCCCTGGAATGATGACTCATACAGGTTAATTTGCCTTTAATGTGGCAATTTGATGCTTAGAAATGGTTCTGATTTATTAATGACTATCTTTGTTTCCCCTAGAAATAAAGTCTGTGTATAGAACAAGATCCCTCCATCAATGCTCCTAAATGTTATGGACATTATTGCTTTTGTCTATTTCATTGCTGCAGGGAGTATTCACATTCAATTAATCTAGTTAGGCCTTTGGCTACTTACTTCTTTACATTTTCAGACATCTATTTTTTTATACTGCGCTTATTTTCCTGAATTGGATTTTGCTGACATTATTCACTAATAAGAATAATCTATTTTTTAATATGGCAATTGACTGATCAATTCATTCTGGGTATAATCTTTCAATTTTTGACAGTTCTCAGGTGACACTATTGTTACAGAATATCAAGTCATTTTCTAACTATTAAAGACTTGATGGTAACAGGTTATACAAAAGAAGTGTTGGCATTCTTCTGAACAGAGCAAGAGATTCCTAAAGAGTAAAATGAACAAAATCGCAATCTTATACTATTATGACTTAAAGAATATGAAAGAAAAGTTTGAATGTCATATAAACGTACAGAATTGTCTTATATGAAGAGACAAAGGCTATAATGGAATAAAAATTTCATCAAACATTTAATAATTTACATTGAATTCAGTTTACTGGGAATCCCAATGTTGCAAGCACAGTGCTATGTGCTAGAAACAAAAATAAGAAGACCATCCTGTGAACCAGTAAGAAAGACATACTTGTGTTCTTTATTAGGTATAGAACACAGAAAAATCCCCGAAATACACACACACACACACACACACACACACACACATGCACAAATCTGTTAAATGTCCTGTTTAGTTTCTGGATACAAGTTTTTGAGCTTTAGTTTTCCTAATCTTTAAAAAGAGTTAATATTAGTCGGACAGCGTGGCTCACAATTGTAATCCCAGCACTTTGGGGGACCTAGGCAGGTGAATCACGAGGTCAGGAGATCAAGACCATCCTGGCTAATATGGTGAAATCTTGTCTCTACTAAAAATACAAAAAATTAGCTGGGCGTGGTGGCAGGCGCCTGTAGTCCCACCTACTCGGGAGGCTGAGGCAGGAGAATGGTGTAAACCCAGGTGGTGGAGCTTGCAGTGAGCCAAGATCAGGTCACTGCACTCCAGCCTGGGTGACAGAGTGAGACCCTATCCCCCCCAACAAAAGAGTTAATATTTGTACCTACTTCTTAATAGGGCTTCACAATGATTAAAGAGATAATACATGAAAGTGCACAGCAAAAAGGCTGGTCCATAGTAAAGACTTCATATTATTGATTTATTACCTATTACAATTAACTTTAATGATTATCTTATTTTAGGAATAGTCACTTTGAATATTTAAGTTTATCTATAAACTTGTAGAGGAACATACACACATTTTTAAAAATCCTTTCCATATAGCTATTCTTTTCCTTCATATATTTGCCAAAGTTGACCAAACTAGCAAACAAACATCTTTAACAAATTTTACACTAAAAAGGTTAACAGGTTCTATATTGTGATAAAAATGGATCAAACTAGAAATTAGCATCTGCAAATATAAAATACGTACATCTGTAAATATAAAAAAATAAAAAAATGAAACCCAGACTACCTCCCAAATTTAAATAAGTCAGGATATTGAAGTTATTAAAATGTATTATAGACAATCAAGAAATTAATATAAATGCCAATATGACATACATGATGTCCATGGAAGGTGAAAGAAATTTAAAAGAAAGCCACACATTCTTACATGCATTTGTAATTAAACAAGTGTGAAAGCTAAGTATTCCACTAAATGAAAGCAAAGACAGATATAAAGAAAAGAGTTAGACCAGGTACAGTGGCTACCGTTTATAATCCCAATACTTTGGGAGGATGAGGCAGGAGGATCACCTGAGGTCAGAAGCTTGAGATGAGCCTGGCCAAAATGGTGAAACTGCATCTCTACTAAAAATACAAAAATTAGTTAGCCACGGTGGCATGTGCCTGTAATCTCAGCTACTTGGGAGGCTGAGGCAGGAGAATTGCTTGAACCTGGGAGGTTGAGGTTGCAGGGAGTGGAGATCACACCACTGCACTTCAACCTGGGTGACAGAGTGAGACTTAGTTTCAAAAAAAAAGAAAAAAAAAGAAAAAAAGAAAGAAAAATAGAATTGATAATAAAGAGCCAGTTCTTTTGAGAGATGAGATAATTAGGCATTTCTAGTATGCACAGCAAGGAGCTAGAGAAAACATTGTATATTAATAGCACTGAGAAACAAGACAGAACTTCAGATACAAATCAACAGAATGCATTGAAAACCACTGGAACGTGCTTGAAATCTTAATAAAATGTTAAGTTTCCTAGGAAAAAATAAATAATGAAGCCCGAAAGCTGGATCAACTCGATAACTACAGAATAAATTGAAAGCACTGTCAAAAAATTTTCCTCAGAAATGGCATTTGAACAAAATGAAGGGTTGTATTAAAGTTTTCTGTTTTATTTACAGCATTCCAACACATAGTAAAACATAACATTTCTTTTTCAAAGGTCTCACAACCCAAATGCAAAACCTAACCAGAAAGTATGAAAAGATGACAGCACAACTTTGGTCTCCGGATGATTTTTTAAAATACCTAAGTAATATATTACAAAATCAGATGTAAAAATCTTCTTTTATAGAAGACATTTATGCAGCCAACAAACATAAGAAAAAAAGCTCATCATTGCTGGTCATTAGAGAAATGCAAATCAAAACCGCAATGAGATACCATCTCATGCAAGTTAGAATGGTGATCATTAAAAAGTCAGGAAACCACAGATGCTGGAGAGGATGTGGAGAAATAGAAACGCTTTTACACCGTTGGTGGGAGTGTAAATTATCTCAATCATTGTGGAAGACAGTATGGCAATTCCTCAAGGATCTAGAACCAGAAATACCATTTGACCCAGCAATCCCATTATTGGGCATATACCCAAAGGATTATAAATCATTCTACTACAAAGACACATGCAAGTGGATGTTTATTGCTGCACTGTTCACAATAGCAAAAACTTGGAACCAACCCAAATGTCCATCAATGATAGACTGGATAAAGAAAATGTGGCACATATACACCATGGAATATTATGCAGCCATTAAAAAGGATGAGTTCATATCCTTTGCAGGGACATGGATGAAGTTGGAAAACATCATTTTCAGCAAACTAACACAAGAACAGAAAACCAAACACCTCATGTTCTCACTCATAAGTAGGAGTTGAACAATGAGAATACACGGACACAGGGAGGGGAACACCCCACACCAGGTGCTGTTGGGGGATGAGGGGCTAGTGGAGGGATAGGATTAGGAGAAATACCTAATGTAGGTGACAGGTTGATGGGGGCAGCAAACCACCATGGCACGTGTATATCCATGTAACAAACCTGCACATTCTGCATATGTACCCCAGAACTTAAAGTATAATAAAAAACAATCTTTTTTTATCAAAAAGAAGATTTAACCCCAAGAATTTAATGTTTTGTCAATATAAATATCTGCACATTATTATTTATGTTAACAACTAAAAAAGCTTCTATGATCACTTTGATAAGTACCATAAAGGCATTTGACAAAATGTAATATAATCTTGATTTTTTAAAAAAATGACAGAACAAAATTTTGTAAAATATTCTATCAGAAACCAGCAACAAACATTATACAGGATGTTTGATGATAATAACAGGAAGCACAGAGGTATAATAACAGGAAGCACAGAAGTATCCCCATAAAAGTACAGAAAAACAAAAACATATCCTTTATTTACTACAAGTTTTGAACATTTTTTTTGTGCAAGTCATATCAAGGCAATAAGGTAAGGGGAAAATGATCTGTAATTACTAAAAAGGAAAAGATTTAAAAATCTTAATAACATAACATCGAACATTTTAAAAAATAATATATATCAGTAAGGTGACATAAAATAAGTATTATGGAAATTAACATATTTACTGTATAGAAACAATATACTTGTTAGAAAACAATAAATAGTATACATTGGAGAAAATTAATTTATATACATGTATATGTGTGTATACATATAAATATATGAGTGCATGCACACACACATACACATCAGGCCTGGGAACAGACTTAGCAGGAAATATTCCAGGTTTATGTAAGAAACAATTTGACCTAAATAAATAAATTGCCATGTTCTTTCACTGGAAAATTCAACTGCATCCCAATGGGTTTTTTTAATGACATGAAGAGAGAATTCTAAATTTCTTCAGGAAAAATACATTTGCAAGAATAATGATAGAAATTTGGCCTTAGCAGGTATCATGCTATAATTACTAAAATGATAAGATAACCAAATTAACAACAATCAAACCAAGAGTTCAAAACAGATTCATGTATATAATAAAGACAAATCAGACTGTGAGAAAATTGCTATCCACTGGAATTAAAAAAACTAGAACCACTTCTTATACCATACACCAAATTTTCATACAGATTAATGATTTCAAACTTTAAAATTCAATTTTTTAAAAAGTCAAAAGAAAATAAGAAAGAAAATTTTCCTGAAGTTGTCATGAAGAATGGCAGTCCTTTCTAAGCTAACTCAGTGCCCAGAAGTCATAAAGAAAAAGCACACCAAATTCTACTACATAAAAGTACATATTTCTACACAGTCTTACAAAATGCATGTAAGATTAAAGAGAAATAACTGAGGAGAAATATATAATAATGATTTTATACTCTTATGTCAATCACAATTCATTAGGAATAACATAAAATTTTTACTAACCATTATTTAATCATGCAGTACTCACCGAAAGCTTGCTATACGTCTGCAACTTTTATTCCCTACTCTCATGTAGCTTACATTCTAGTGGTGATCAACTAGAAAAGCTAGAAAGGAATATTACTTGAGGCTGTGTATGGTGACTCACATTTGTAAACCCAGCACTTTGGGAGGACTAGGTGAGTGGATCACTTGAGGCCAGGAGTTCGAGACCAGCCTGGCCAATATGCCAAAACCCCAACTCCACAAAAAATACAAAAATTAGCCAGGTGTGGTGACACGAACCTGTAGTCCCAACTAGTTGGGAGGCTGAGGCAGGAGAATAGTTTGAGACCAGAAGGTAGAAGTTACAGTCAGCTGAGATTGTGCCACTGCACTTCAACCTGGGCAACAGAGTGAGACTCTGTCTCAAAAAAAAAAAAGAATATTAATTAAAAAGAGCTTATGCAAATTGCAACAGCATAAGGAAACATGCCTTCTCATGCACTATACTGCAGGTGCTCGAGAAGGTCTGTCTTAACAACCAGCTGGAAATAATGATCAAAACTGTAAAATGTACAAACATTATGTATGCACCAATAATTTACTGTCCTAATTAAAGTATATTTTGACAAAATCCATAAAATTGTCTAATATACAAAAGATGTGCATCATAGTGTTATTTAAACAGCAGAAAAGCAGAAATAACAAAGGTTCATCTATAAGGAAAAATTAAATCGATAATTTTGTTGACACAAAAAGAAGGCTACAAAATACCAAAAATATTAAAAGCAAAAAAAAAAAAAAATCACAGTAATTAGTGCATTCTATGATCCCATAGAATATACTGGGACAAAACCACATACTTTATATATATATATACATATTCACACATACACACATACATATATATGTGTATATATATACATGTATGTATGTGTATATATATATGTGTGTGTATATATACACACACACACACACACACACACAGAAAGGGTTGCAAGGTAATGCAGCTAGCCAAGAAGAAGAAAAACATGTAACTTTAGGAAAAGATACTCGTCCTCACTAATAAATCAAGGAAGATAGGGGCTATTGCTTTCTTTTTAATTTGAATGAAAAATACAATTATGTATTATCAAAAAAGAATATTTCTATTTCCTTTTAAGTATCAAGTCACTTTGTAAAAGGAAAAATAAAGGAAACATAATAAATTATGACATCTTATTAAGGACAAATATCATAAATCATGTATATTAATAAATGATTCCTTCTAACCTCACTTAAGGATTTTAAAATATTACTTCCTTTATGGGTGCGTGTTTGTGTGTCTGTATGTGTGTATTCCTGTCTTTGTGTTTCAAATGCTTTTCTATTCCATATTCACATAACTTTCTTTTTTCTTTTTTTTTTTTTTGAAATGGAGTCTCCCTCTGTCCCCTAGGCTGGAGTGCAGTGGCGCAATCTCAGCTCACTACAAGCTCCACCTCCCATGTTCATGCCATTCTCCTGCCTCAGCCTCTCGAGTAGCTGGGACTACAGGTGCATGCCACCACGCCCGGCTAAATTTTTGTATTTTTAGTAGAGATGGGTTTTCACCATGTTAGCCAGGGTGGTCTCGATCTGCTGACCTCATAATCTGCCTGCCTTGGCCTCCCAAAGTGCTGGGATTACAGGCGTGAGCCTCTGCTCCTGGCCCATGATCGTATAACTTTCAAATTTTCTTCTAATATATATTTTTCGATTAAAAATATTCTTTTTTTTTCTTTTTTTATTTTGAGATGGAGTCTCTCTCTGTCGCCCAGGCTGGAGTGCAGTGGCGCAATCTCTGCTCATTGCAACCTCCGCCTCCCGGGTTCATGCCATTCTCCTGCCTCAGACTCCCAAGTAGCTGGGACCACACGCTCCCGCCACCACATACGGCTAATTTTTTATATTTTTAGTAGAGATGGGGTTTCACCGTGTTAGCCAGGATGCTCTCGATCTCCTGACCTCGTGATCCACCCGCCTTGGCCTCCCAAAGTGCTGGGATTACAGACGTGAGTCACAGCGCCCGGCCCAATAATATTCTTATGGTTCAACTTTTTACACTTAAATTTTTAATATATTTGGAGTTCACTCCAGTGGCAACTGTTCTATTTTTATCCGAAAGTATTAGTTATTCCAAGACCACATATTGAAGTTGTCCCTCAAGCTGCCCATCCCCCATGCTTCCTTCCACCCATCCCATACTCTTTCATTAGGACCTCAATCGTGTGCTTTTGTGTGTGTGTGTATGTGCTTGTGTGTGTGTGTGTGTGTGTGTGTGTGTGTGTGTGTGAGGGAGTTTTACTCTTTCACCCAGGCTGGAGTGAAGAGCACAATCTCAGCTCACTGCAACTTCCTTCTCCCAGGTTCAAGTGATTCTCCTGCCTCAGCCTCCCAAGTAGCTGGGATTACAGGCAACTGCTACCATGCCCGGGTAATTTTCGTATTTTTAGTAGAGACAGGGTTTCACCATGTTGGCCAGGCTGGTCTCAAACTCCTGACCTTAGGTGATCAGCCCACCTTGCAGACCAAAGTGTTAGTGTTCTATCATCTGAATTATTTCTACAGGCTCCTATTGGCCTTCCTTCATTCAGCATTGCATTTCTCCCATTCTACACCTTCCAATGCCTCAAAAGGCTGGTCTACATATGGAGTGACATGTCACTTCTTCCTTCAAATCCTTTGAATCACTTTCCACTTTTTAATAAGCTTACGATTTCAGGTGTGGCCATATAATTTATCCTCCAAATAGGGAAACAATTGAAAGTGGGAGAAAGGCTATTTATTTGTAATAATGCTGGAACTGCAGGCATGAAACAGACGGTCCTGGACATACCCTACTCAAAAGGCTCCAAACTGTTACCACTTCCTCCTTCGCAATCCAACCATTCTGAGGCTGGTTTTGCATTTCTACATCTTCAAATTTAAAGTTTTCTTTACGGGACTTTACATGCTCTTCCCTTTACCGAAATGGTTTCTTTTTCACATCGCACCCCCAACCCATTTCCCACTTCTTTGTGCCCTTCTCGTTCCCTCAAACTCCATGATGAGGTCTCAACTTATATGGCACTTCCTCTGTAAAGATTTATTTAACACTCTCCCCCTGCCCAACTTTGGGTTTAGCACAATTCCTATGTATTTCATATCATTTCCATGCACTTCCTCTTTTAAATCCAGTATTTCTCCTATCACCTTCACCAGTGTACATATATCTTCTATAATCTGCATCCGTAGGTCCTGACACACAGTAGGCATTAATAGAAAAAAAACCTAAGAATAAATGAATGGCCGGTCACAGTGGCTCATGCCTGTAATCCCAGCACTTTCGGAGGCTGCAGCAGTCTTACAGAATCCTTTGTGAGTTACTAACATTCAGAACCTCGTAGCAGTGTTCTGGAATCGTGTGTAAGGGACAAACTTTCTGAAACCAGCAGCAGTGTTTTGGAATCCCATGTGAGGGAGAAACACTCAGAACCCAGCAGCAGGGTTCTGGAATCCTATGTGAGTGACAAACACTAAGAAATCTGCAGCAGTTTTATGGAATCCTATGTGAGGGACAAACACTCAGAACTCAGCAGCCGTGTTCTGGAATCCGATGTGAGGGACAAACACTCAGAAATCAGCAGCAGCGTTCTGGAATACTAGGTGAGAGACAAACACTCAGAACACAGCAGCAGTGTACTGGAAGCCTATGTGAGTGACACTCAGAAAATAGCAGCAGTGTTATGGAATCCTCTGTGCGGGACAAACACTCAGAACCCAGCAGCAGTGTTCTAGAATCCTTTGTGATAGACAAACATTCAGAGACTCGTAGCAGTGTTGTGGAATCGTATGTGAGGGACAGACAGAATGTGGCAGCAGTGTTCTCCAATCCCATGTGAGGGAAAAACACTCAGAACCCAGCAGCAGTGTTCTAGAATATTTGTGAGGCACAAACATTCAGAAACTAGTAGCAGTGATCTGGAATCGTATATGAAGGACAAACACTCTGAAACCAGCAGCACAGTTTTGGAATCCCACGTGAGGGAAAAACATTCACAATCCAGCAGCAGTGTTCTGGAATCCTATGTGAGGGACAAACACTCAGAACCCATCAGCAGTGTTCTAGAATCCTTTCTGAGGCACAAACATTCAGAAATTAGTAGCAGTGTTGTGGAATCGTACGTGAGGGACAAACACTCTGAACCCAGCAGCAGTGTTTTGGAATCCCATGTGAGGAACAAACACTCAGAAGCCAGAAGCAGTGTTCTGGAATCCTATGTGAGTGACAAACACTCAGAACCCAGCAGCAGTGTTCTAGAATCCTTTGTGAGGCACAAACATTCAGAAACTAGTAGCAGTGTTCTGGAATCGTATGTGAGGGACAAACACTCTGAACCCAGCAGCAGTGTTTTGGAATCCCATGTAAGGAACAAACACTCTGAACCCAGCAGCAGTGTTTTGGAATCCCATGTGAGGGACAAACACTCAGAAGCCAGAAGCAGTGTTGCGGAATCCTATGTGAGTGACAAACACTCAAAATCCAAAAGCAGTGTTCTAGAATCCTTTGTGAGGGACAAACCTTCAGACCCTCAAAGCACTGTTCTGGAATACTATGTGAGGGAAAAACACTCAGAAACCAGCGGGAGTGCTCTGGAATCCCTTGTGAGGGACAAACACTCACAGTCCTAAAGCAGTATTCTGGAATCCTTTGTGAGGGGCAAAAACTCAGAACCCAGCAGCAGTGTTTTGGAATACCATGTGAGGTACAAACACGCAGAACCCAGCAGCAGGGTTCGCGAATCCTTTGTGAGGGACAAACCTTCTGACCCTCAAAGAAGTGATCTGGAATCGCATATGAGGGCCAAACACTTCGAACCCAGTCGCAGGGTTCTGCAATGCATTGTGATGGAGAAACATTCAGACCGTCGTAGCTGTGTTCTGTAATCCTATGTGAGGGACAAACACTCAGAACCCAGTAGGAGAGTTTTAGAATCCTTTGTGAGGGACAAAGACTCAGAACCCATCAGCAGTGTTCTGGAATCCTGTGTGCGGGACAAACACTCAGAACCCAGCCACTGTGTTCTGGAATCCCATCTGAGGGACAAGCATTCAGACACTCGTAGAAGTGTTCTCGAATACTACGTGAGGGACAAACATACAGAACACAGTAGCAGTCTTCTGGAATCCCATGTGAGGGACAAACACGCAGAACCCAGCAGCAGGGTTCTCAAATCCTATGTGAGTGAAAAACAATCAGAACCCAGAAGCAGTTTTCTAGAATCCTTTGAGAGGGACAAACCTTCTGACCCTCGAAGAAGTGATCTGGAATCGTATGTGTGGGCAAAACACTCCGAACCCAGTAGCAGGATTCTGGAAACTTATGTGAGAGACAAAAATTCAGAACCCAGCAGCAGTGTTCTGGAATCCTATGTGAAGGAATAATACTCAGAACTCAGCCACGGTGTTTCTGGAATCCTATCTGAGGGATAAACATTCAGACCCTCGTAGCAGTGTTCTGGAATCCTGTGAGGGAAAAACACTCAGAATCCAGCAGCAGAGTTCTGGAATCCTTTGTGAGGGACAAACACTCAGAACCCAGCAGCACTGTTCTGGAATCCTTTGTGAGGGACAAACATTCAGAACCTCGTAGCAGTGTTCTGGAATCGTACATGAGGGACAAATACTCTGAACCCAGCAGCAGTGTTTTGGAATCCCATGTGAGGGACAAACACTCAGAACCCAGCATCAGTGTTCTGGAATCCGTTGTTATGGGCAAACATTTAGACCGCCTAGCAATGTTCTGGAATCCTATTTGAAGGAGAAGCACTCAGAAACCAGCAACAGTGTTCTGGAATCCTATGTGAGCAAGAAAAACTCCGAACTTAGCAGCAGTGTTCTGGAATCCTAAGTGAGGGACAAAACCTCAGAACCCAGCAGCAGTGTTCTGGAATCCCACGTGAGAGAAAAACACTCACAACCCAGCAACAGTGTTCTGGAAGCCTATATGAGGGACAAATACTCAAACTCACCAAAAGTGTTCTCGAATACTATGTCATGGAAAAGCACTCAGAATCCAGCAACAGTGTTCTGGAATCCCTTGTGATGGGCAGACATTCAGACCCTCGTAGCAGAGTTCTGGATTCCTATGTGAGGGACAAACAATCAGTACCCAGTAGCACTGTTCTGGAATCCTATGTGAGGGACAAACACTCAGAACCCAGCAGCAGTGTTCTGGAATCCTATATGAGGGAGAACACTCACAACCCAGGAGCAGTGTTGTGGAGTCCTATGTGAGGACAAACATTCAGAACCCAGTGGCAGTGATCTGGAAATCTATGTGAGGGACAAACACTCAGAAACCAGCCACTGTGTTCTGGTTTCCTATATGAGGGACAAACATTCAGACACTCGTAGAGGTGTTCTGGAATCCTATGTGAGGGACAAAGACTCAGAAACCAATAGCTGTGCTCTGGAAACCTTTGTGAGGGACAAACACACAGACCTCAGCAGCAGTATTCTGGAATCCTTTGTGAGGGAAAAACATTGCGACCCTCCTAGCAGTGTTCTGGAATCCTACGTGAGGGACAAAAACTCAGGACCCAGCAGCAGTGTTCCGGACTCCTATGTGAGGGATAAACACTCAGAAACCAGCAGCAGTGCTCAGGAATCCTTTGTGAGGAACAAACATACAGAACTGAGCAGCAGTGTTTTGGAATCCTACGTGAGGGACAAACATTCAGTACATCTTAAGAGTATTCTGAAATCGTATGTGAGGGACAAACACTCGCAACCCAGCAACAGTTTTCTGGAATCCTATGTGAGTGACATACACTCAGACCCCAGCAGCTCTGTTCTAGAATCCTATGTGAGGAACAAACACTCAGAACCCAGCAGTAGTGTTCTAGAATACTTTGTGAGGGACAAATGCTCAGAACCCAGCAGCAGTGTTCTAGAATCCTTTGTGAGGGACAAACGCTCAGAACCCAGCAGCAGTGTTCTAGAATCCTTTGTGAGAGACAAACACACAGAAGCCATCAGCAGTGTTCTAGAATCCTTTGTGAGGGACAAACACTCTGAACCCAGCAGCAGTGTTTTGGAATCTCATGTGAGGGACAAACACTCAGAACCCAGCAGCAGAGTTCTGGAATCTTATGTGGGTGAAAAACAATCAGATCCCAGTAGCAGTGTTCCAGAATCTTTTATGAGGGACAAAACTTCAGACCCTTGAAGAAGTGTTCTGGAATCATATGGGAGGGAGAAATACTCAGAACCCAACAGCAGGGTTCTGGAATCCTATGTGAGGGACAAACACTCAGAACCCAGGAATAGTGTTCCGGAATCCTCTGTGAGGGAAAAACATTCAGAACCCAGCAGCAGTGTTCTGGAAACCTATGTGAGTGACAAGAATTTGGAACACAGCAGTAGTGTTCT
This sequence comes from Homo sapiens, assembly GCF_000001405.40. Taxonomy (NCBI): domain Eukaryota; kingdom Metazoa; phylum Chordata; class Mammalia; order Primates; family Hominidae; genus Homo; species Homo sapiens. Next base: position 15,466,992 of record NC_000022.11, on the reverse strand, counting down.
AGAATCCTTTGTGAGGGACCAACATTCATACCCTCGAAGCAGTGCTCTGGAATCCTAAGTGAGGGACACACACTCAGAACCAAGCAGCAGTGTTCTGGAATCCTAAGTGAGGGACAAACACTAAGACCCAGAAGCAAGGTTCTGGAATCCTAGTGAGGGACAAGCACTCAGAAACTAGCAGCGTTGTTCTGCAATGCTATGTGAGGGACAAACACTCAGCACCCAGCAACTCTGTTCTGGAAACCTATATGAGGGACAAACATTCAGACACTTGTAGAAGTGCTCTGGAATCCTACGTGAGGACAAACACTCAGAAACTAGCAGCAGTGCTCAGCAATCTTTTGTGAGGGACAAACATACAGAACACAGCAGCAGTGTTTTGGAATCCTATCTGAGTGACAAACACTCAGAACCCAGCAGCTGTGTTCTGGAATCCTTTGCGAGGGAAAAACACTAAGACCCAGCAACAGTGTTTTGGAATCCTGTGTGAGGGACAAACACTCAGAACCCTGCAGCAGTGTTCTGGAAACCCATGTGACGGACAAACACTCAGGACCCAGCAGCAGTGTTCCAGAATCCTTTGTGAGGAACAAACACACAGAAACCAGCAGCAGTGTTCTGGAACCCTGGGTAAGGGACAAACACTCAGAACGTAGGAGCAGTGTTCTAGAATCCTTCGTGAGGGAAAAACTCTCAGAATCCAGCAGCAGTGTCCTAGAATACTTTTTGAGGGACAAACACTCAGAAGTCCGCAGCAGTGTTCTGGAATCCTATGTGAGGGACAAAAAATCAGAACCCAGCCATTGTGTTCTGGAATCCTATCTGAGGGACAAACATTCAGACACTCGTAGAAGTGTTGCGGAATCGTATGTGAGGGACAACACTCAGAACCCAGCAGCAGTGTTCTGGAAACCTATGTGAGTGACAAGCATTTGGAACACAGCAGTAGTGTTCTAGAATCCTTTTTTGAGGGACAAACATTCGTACCCTCGAAGCAGTGTTCTGGAATCCTAAGTGAGGGACACACACTGAGAAACGAGGAGCAGTCTTCTGGAATCCCATGTGAGGGACAAACACTCAGAACCCAGCAGGTGTGTTTTGAAATCCTAAGTAAGGGACAAACACTCAGAACCCAGCCACTGTGTTCTGGAATCCTATCTGAGGGACAAACATTCAGACACTTGTAGAAGTGCTCTGGAATCCTACGTGAGGACAAACACTCAGAAACCAGCAGCAGTGCTCAGCAATCCTTTGTGAGGGACAAACATTCAGAACACAGCAGGAGTGTTTTGGAATCCGATCTGAGTGACAAACACTCAGAACCCAGAAGCAGGTTTCTGGAATCCTATGTGAGGGACAAACACCAAGACCCAGCAGCAGTGTTTTGGAATCCTATGTGAGGGACAAACACTCAGAACCCAGCAGCAGTGCCCTGGAATCCTATGTGAGTGACAAACACTCAGAACCCAGCAGCAGTGTTCTAAAATCCTTTGTGAGGGACAAACACTCAGAACCCAACATCAGCGTTCTGGAATCCTATGTGAGGGAGAAACACTCAGAACCCAGCAGCAGTGTTCTAGAATCCTTTGTGAGGGACAAACACTCAGAACTCAGCAGCAGTGTTCTAGAATCCTTTGTGAGGGACAAACACTCAGAACCCAACAGCAGTATTCTGGAATCCTATGTGAGGGACAAACAATCAGAACCCAGCCACTGTGTTCTGAAATCCTAGGTGGGGGACAAATATTCAGACACTCATAGAAGTGTTCTGGAATCCTATATGAGGGACAGACACTCAGAAACCAGCAGCAGTGTTCTGCCATCCTTTGTGAGGGACAAACATACAGAATACAGCAGCGGTGTTCTGGAATCCTATTTTAGGGACAACACTCAGAACCCAACAGCAGTGTTCTAGAATCCTTAGTGAGGGACAAACATTCAGAACCTCGGAGCTTTGTTCTGGTATCCCAAGTGAGGGACAAACACTCACATCCCAGTAGCAGTGTTCTGGAATCCTTGGTGATGGACAAACATTCAGAACCTCGAAGGAGTGTTCTGGAGTCCTATGTGCGATACAAACCTTCAGACCCCCGTAGCAGTGTTCTCGAATGCTATGTGACGGACAAACAATCAGAACCCAGCAGTCGTGTTCTGTAGTACTATGTGAGGGACAAACACTGAGAACCCTGCAGCAGTGGTCTGGAATCTTTTGTGAGGGACTTACATTCAGGCCTTCTTATCAGTGTTATGGAATCCTATGTGAGGGACCAACCCTCAGAACCCAGCAGCAGTGTGCTGGATTCCTTTCTGAGGCACAAACATTCAGAGCCTCGTAGCAGTGTTCTCGAATCCTATATGAGGGACAAACACCCCGAACCCAGCAGCGGTGTTTTGGAATCCTTTGTGAGAGAAAAACTTTCTGACCCTCAAAGCAGTGTTCTGGAATCCTATGTGACAGAGAAACACTCAAAACCCAGCAGCCGTGTTCTGGTATCCTACATGAGGGGCAAGCATTCAGACCATCATAGCAGTGTTCTGGAATCATATGTGAGAGACAAACATTCAGACCCTCGTAGCTGTGTTCTGCAATCCTATGAGAGGGAAAAACATTCAGAACCCAGCAGCAGTGTTCTGGAGTCCTTTGTGACGGACAAGCATTCAGACCCTTGTAGCAGTGTTCTGGAATCCTATGTGAGAGACAAATATTCAAACCTTCATATCAGTGTTCTGGATTTCTATGTGAGGGTCATACACTCAGAACCCAGCAGCAGTGTTCTGGAATCCTATCTGAGGGAGTAACATTCAGACCCTTGCATCAGAGTTCTGGGATCCTATGTGAGGGACAAACACTCAGAAACTAGCAGCAGTGTTCTGGAATCCTATGTGAAGGACAAACACTCAGAACCCAGCAACAGTGTTCTGGAATCCCATGTGAGGGACTAGCATTCAGACCATCGTAGCAATGTTCTGGAATGCTATGTTGCGGAGAATCCTTAAGACCGTCGTACCAGTGTTCTGGAATCCTATGAGAGGGACAAACAATCAGAACCCAGTAGCAGTATTCCGGAATACTTTTTGAGGGACAAACACTCGGAACCCAGCAGCAGTGTTCTGGAATCCTATGTGTGGGACAAACTCTCATATCCCAGCAGCAGTGTTCCAGATTGCTATGTAAGGGACAAACACTCAGAACACGGCAGCAGAGTTCTGGAATCCTTTGTGAGGAACAAAGTTTCAGACCCTCATAGCAGTGTTCTGGAATAAGATGTGAGGCTCACTCAGAACCCAGAAAAATTGTCCTAGAATCCTATGTGAGTGACAGAAACTCAGAACCCAGCAGCAGTGTTCTGGAATCCTTTGTGAGGGACAAACATTCAGAACCACGGAGAAGTTTTCTGGAATACTATGTGAGGGTAAACACCAAGAACCCAGGAGCAGTTTCTCGAAAATGATGTGAGGGAAAAGCTTTCAGACCTTTGTACCAGTGTTCTGGAATCCGATGTGAGGGACAAATATTCAGAACCTTGTAGCAGTGTTCTGTAATCCTAAGTGAGGGACAATTACTCAGAACCCAGCAGCAGTGTTCTGGAATCCTTTGTGAGGGACATAGATTCAGACCCTCTTAGCAGTATTCTCTAATCCTATGTGAGTGACAAACATTCAGACACTCGTAGCAGTGTTCTGGAAACCTATATGTAGGACAAACACTCAGAACCCAGCAGCAGTGTTCTGGAATCCTATTTGATTGGCAAAGACACAGAACCCATCAGCAGTGTTCTGGAAAACCAGCAGCAGAGTTCTGGAATCCTATGTGAGGGAGAAATCCTCAGAATCCACCAGTGTGTTTTGGAATCCATTGTGAAGGACACACATTCAGACCCTCCTAGAAGTGTTCTGGAATCCTATGTGAGTGACAAACTTTGAGACCCTTGTAGAAGTGTTCAGGAATCATATGTGAGTGGCAAACACTAAGAACCGAGCAGAAGTGTTCCGGAATCATATTTGATTGACAAACACACAGAACCCCGCAGCAGTGTTCTGGAATCCTTTGTGAAGGAAAAACCTTCAGAAACTTGTAGCAGTGTTCTGGAATCCTATGTGAGGGAGAAACACTGAGAACCCAACAGCAGTGTTCTGGAATCCTATGAGAGGGTCAAACACTCAGAACCCAGCAGCAGTGTTCTGGTATCCTATGTTATGGACAAACACTCAGAACCCAGCAGCAGTGTTCTGGAATCCTATGTGATGGACAAAGACACAGAACCCAGGAGCAGTATTCTAGAATCTTTTGTGAGGGACAAACACTCAGAACCCCGCAGCAGTGTTCTGTAATCCTTTAGGAGGGAAAAACTTTCACACCCTCCTAACAGTGTTCTGGAATCCTAGGTGAGGGAAAAACATTCAGACACTCCTACCATTGTTTTGGAAGACAATATGAGGGCAACCACTCAGAACCCAGCAGCAGTTTCCTGGAAACCTTTATGAGGGATAAACATTCAGAACCTCGTAGCAGTGTTTTGCAATCTTATGTGAGAGACAAACACTAGAACCCAGCAGCAGTGTTCTGGAATCCTATGAGAGGGAGAAACACTCAGAACCCAGCAGCAGTGTTCTGGAATCCTATGTGAGTGACAAACTTTCTGAATTTCGTAGCAGTGCTCTGGAATTCTCTGTGAGGGACAGTCACTGAGAAATCAGCAGCAGTGTTCTGGAATTCTATGTGAGGGACAAAAATTCAGACCCTCCTAACAGTGTTCTGGAATCCTATGTGAGGTACAAATCCTCAGAACCTAGCAGCAATGTTCTAGAATCCTTTGTGAGGGACAAACAGAAACCAACCGAAGTGTTCTAGAATCCTTTGTGAAGGACAAACATGCAGAACCTCGTAGCAGTGTTCTGGAATTCTATGTGAGGGACAAACACTCAGTATCCAGCCACAGTGTACTGGAATCCTATCTGAGAGCAAACATTCCGAACCTCGTCACAGTGTTCTGGAATCCTATGTGAGGGACAAACACCAAGAAGTCTGCAGCAGTGCCCTGGAATTCTTTGTGTGGGACCAAAAAACATAACCCAGTTGCAGTGTTCTAAAATCCTTTGTGAGGTAAAAACATTCAGATCCTCGTAGCAGTGTTCTGGGATCCTATCTGAGGGACAACTACTCAGAATCCAGCCACTGTGTACTGGAATAATATATTAGTGCAAACATTCAGAACCTCATAGAAGTGTTCTGGAATCGTATGTGAGGGATAAACACTAAGACATCTGCAGCAGTGCTCTGGATTCCTTTGTGAGGACAAGCAAACAGAACCCAGTAGCAATGTCCTACAATCCTCTGTGAGAGAAAAACATTCAGAACCTCGTAGCAGTGTTCTGGAATCCTATGTGAGGGAAAAACATTCAGACCCTCGAAGCTGTGATCTGGAATCCTATCTCAGGGACAAACACTCAGAACCCAGCAGCAGTGTTCTGGAATCCTTTAGGAGGGAAAATATTCACACCCTCATAACAGTGTTCTGGAATCCTATGTGAGGGAAAAACATTCAGACACTCGTAGCATTGTTCTGGAATCCAATATAAGGGCAAACACTCAGAACCCAGTAGCAGTGTTCTGGAAAACTTTGTGAGGGATAAACACTCAGAACCCAACAGCAGTGTATTGGAATCCTATGTGAGGAACAAACACTCAGAATCCAGAAGCAGTGTTCTGGAATCCTATGAGTGAAACAAACACTCACAACCCAGCAGCAGTGTTCTGGAATCCCATGCGAGCGACAAACTTTCTGAACTTCCTAGCAGTGTTCTGGAATTCTATATGAGGGACAAACTCTGAGAAGCCAGCAGCAGTGTTCTTGAATCCTAAGTGAGGGACAAACACTCAGAACCCAGCAGCAGTGTTCTGGAATCCTATGAGAGTGACAAACACTCAGAACCCATCAGCAGTGTTCTAGAATCCTTTGTGAGGGACAAACACTCAGAACCCAGCATCATTGTTCTAGAATCCTTTGTGAGAGTCAAACATTCAGAACCTGGTAACAGTGTTCTGGAATCCTATGTGAGGGACAAACACTCAGAATCCAGCCATTGTGTACTTGAATTCTAGCTGAGGGCAAACATTCAGAACCCCATAGAAGTGTTCTGGAATCCTATGTGTGGGACAAACTCTAAGAAATCTGCAGCAGTGCTCTGGAATCCATTGTGAGGGGCAAACAAACATAACCCAGTAGCAGTGTTCTACAATCCTTTCTGAGGGAAAGACATTCAGACCATCTTAGCAGTGTTCTTGAATCCTATGTGAGGGAAAAGCATTCAGACCCTCGTTGCAGTGATTTGGAATCCTATATGTGGGACAAACACTCAGAATCCAGCAGTAATCTTCTGGAATCCTTTGGTAGGGAAAAACATTCAAACTATAGAAACAGTGTTCTGGAAACCTATGTGTTGGAAAGACATTCGGGCCCTCTTGGTATTGTTCTGGAATCCAATATGAGGGACAAATGCTAACAACTCAGTAGCAGTGATCTGAAACACTTTGTGACTGATAAACATTCAGACCCTTGTAGCACTGTTCTGGAATCTTATGTGAGGGACAAACACTCAGAACGCTGCAGCAGTGTTCTGGAATCCTATGTGTGTGACAAACTTTCAGAACATCGTAGCAGTGTTGTGGATTTCTATGTCATGGACAAACACTCAGATGGCAGTGAGGGACAAACACTCAGAAACCAACAGCAGTGTTCTGGAATCCTATGTGATGGACAAACACACAGAATCCAGCAGCAGTGTTCTAGAATCCTTTGTGAGGGACAAACACTCAGAACTCAGCAGAAGTGTTCTAGAATACTTTGTGAGGGACAAACATTCAGAACCTCGTAACACTGTTCTGGAATCCTATGTGAGGGGCAAACACTCAAAATCCAACCACTGTGTACTGGAATGCTATCTGAGGCTAAACATTCAGAACCTCGGAGAAGTGTTCTGGAATCCTAAGTGAGGGACACACACTAAGAAATCTGTGGCAGTGTTCTGGAATCTTTTCTGAGGACAAACTAACAGAACTCAGTAGGAGCATTGTACAATCCTTTGTGAGGGAAAAATATTCAGACCTTGTAGCAGTCTTCTGGAATCCTATGTGAGGGAAAAACATTCAGACCCTCACTGCAGTGTTCTCAAATCCAACATGAGGGACAAACACTCAGAACCCAGTAGCATTGTTCTGGAAACCTTTGTGAGGGATAAACATTCCGACCCTCGTAGCAGTGTTCTGGAATCCTAAGTGAGGGACAGACACTCAGAACCAAGCAGCAGTGTTCTGAAATCCTATGTAAGCGACACAGTTTCAGAATTTCATAGCGGTGTTCTGGAATTCTATGTGAGGAATAAACACTCAGAAGCCAGCTGCAGTGTTCTGGAATCCAACGTGAGGGACAAACATTCAGAACCCAGCAACAGTGTTCTCGAATCCTATGTGAGGGACTAACCCAGAGAACACAGCAGCACTCTTCTAGAATCCTTTGTGAGGGAACAAACACTCAGAACCCAGAAGCAGTGTTCTAGAATCCTTTGTGAGGGAAAAACAATCAGAATCTCGTAGAAGTGTTCTAGAATCCTATGTGAGGGACAAACACTCAGAATCCAGAGGCTGTGTACTGGAATCCTACTTGAGGGCAAACATTCAGAACCTCGGAGAATTGTTCTGGTATCCTATGTGAGGGACAAACCCTAAGAAATCTGGAGCATCGCTCTGTAATCCTTTGTGAGGGACAAACAAACAGAACCCAGGTTCAGTGTTCTACAATGCTTTGTGAGGGAAAAACATTCAGACTCTCGTAGCAGTGTTCTGGAATCCTTTTTGAGGAACAAACACTCACAACCTAGCAGCAGTGTTCCGGTATCCTTTGGTTGGGAAAAACATTCACAAGCTCATAACAGTGTTCTGGAATCCTATTTGAGGAACAAAAACTCAGAACCCAGCAGCAGTGCTCTGGAATCCTATATGGGGGACAGACACTCAGAATCCAACAGCAGTTTGGTGGAATCTCATGTGAGAGACAAACTTTCAGAACTTCATAGCAGTGTTCTGGAATTCTATGTGAGGGACAAATGCACAGAACCCAGCAGCAGTATTCTGGAATCCTAGGTGACCGACAAACACTCAGAATCCAGCAGCAGTGTTCTGGAGTCCAATGTGAGGGACAAACACTCAGAACCCAGCAGCAGTGTTCTAGAATCCTTTGTGAGGGACAAGCATTCATAACCTCGTAACAGTGTTCTGGAATCCTATGTGAGGGACAAAAACTCATAATCCAGCCACTGTGTAATGGAATCCAATCTGAGGGCAAACATTCAGTACCTTGTAGAAGTTTTCTGGATTCCTATGTAAGGGAGAAACACTAAGAAATCAGCAGCAGTTCTCTTGAATACTTTGTGAGGGATAAACAAACAGAACCCAGTAGCAGTGTTCTACAATCCTTTGTGAGGGAAAGACATTCAGAACCTCGTAGCAGTGTTTTGGAATACTACGTGTGGGAAAAACATTCAGACCCTCGTAGCAGGATTCTGGCATCCTATATGAGGGACAAACACTCAGAACCTAGAAGCAGTGTTCTGGAGTCATTTGGAAAGGAAAAATTTCACACCCTCGTAACCATGTTCTGGAATCACATGCGAGGGAAAAACATTCAGACCCTCGTAGTATTGTTCTGGAATCCAATATGAGGGAGAAACACTCAGAACCCAGCAGCAGTGTTCTGGAAGCCTTTGTGAGGGATAAACTCTCAGACCCTCGTAGCACTGTTCTGGAATCCCATGTAAGGGACAAACACTCAGAACCCAGCAGCAGTGATCTGGAATCCTATATGAGGGAAAACCACTCAGAACACAGCAGCAGTGTTCTGGAATCTTATGTCAGCGACAAACTTTCAGAACTTCGTAGCAGTATTCTGGAATTCTATGTGAGGGACAAACACTCAGAAGCCAGCAGCAGTGATCTGGATCCTATATGAGGGAAAACCACTCAGAACACAGCAGCAGTGTTCTGGAATCTTATGTCAGCGACAAACTTTCAGAACTTCGTAGCAGTATTCTGGAATTCTATGTGAGGGACAAACACTCAGAAGCCAGCAGCAGTGTTCTAGAATACTATGTGTGTTATAAACACTCAGAACCCACCAGCAGTGTTCTGGAATCCTATATGAGGGACACACCCTCAGAACCCAGCAGCAGTATTCTAGAATCCTTTGTGAGGGACAAGCACTCAGAACCCAGCAGCAGCGTTCTGGAATCCTTTGTGAGAAAGAAACACTCAAAACCCAGCAGCAGTTTTCTAGAATCCTTTTTGAGGGACTAACATTCAGAACCTCCTAGCAGTGCTCTGGAATCATATGTGAGGGACAAACATTCTGAATCCAGCATCAGTGTTCTGGAATCCCATGTGAGGGACAAGTGCTCAGAACCCAGCAGCAGTGTTCTGGAATCCTATGTGAGGTACAACAGTCAGAACCCAGCAGCTGTGCTCTGGAATCCTATGTGAGGGACAAACACTCAAAACCCAGCAGCAGGGTTCTGGTATCCCATGTGCGGGACAAACACTCAGAATCCAGCAGTAGTGTTCTGGAATCCTTTGTGATAGACAAACATTCAGACTCTCGTAGGTGTGTTCTGGACTCGTATGTGAGGGACAAACCCTCAGAAACCAGCAGCAGTGTTCTGGAATCCTATGTGAGTGAAAAACAATCAGAACCCAGCAGCAGTGTTCTAGTTTCCTTTATGAGGAACAAAATTTCAGACCCTCGAAGAAGTGTTCTGGAATCATATGTGAGGGAGAAACACTCAGATCCCAGCAGCAGTGTTCTACAATCCTTTGTGAGGGAAAAGCACTCGGAACCCAGCAGCATTGTTTTAGAATACTCTGTGAGGGACTAACATTCAGAACATCCTAGCAGTGTTCTGGAATCCCTTGTGAGCAACAAACACCCCCATCCCTGCAGCAGTGTTTTGGAATCCCACGTGAGGGACAAACACTCAGAACCCAGCAAGTGGGTTCTGGAATGCTATCTGAGGGACAAACTTTCAGATAATCGTAGACGTGTTCTGGAATCCTATGTGTGGGACAAAAACTCAGAACCCAACAGCAGTGCTCGGGAATCCTTTGTGAGAGACAAACATACAGAACCGAGAAGCAGGCTTTTGGAATCCTATGTGAGTGACAAACTCTCAGAAACCAGCAACAGTGTTCTGGAATGCTATGTGACGGACAAACACTCAGACCCAGCAGCTGTGTTTTGGAATCCTGTGTGAGGGACAAACCCTCAGAACTCAGCACCAGTGTTCTGGAATCCCATGTGAGTGAAAACCACTCAGAACGCAGCAGCAGTGTTCTGGAATCCTATGTGAGGGACAAACACTCAGATCCCAGCAGCAGTGTCCTAGAATCCTTTGTGAGGGACAAACACTCAGAACCCAGCAGCAGTTTTCTAGAATCATTTTTGAGAGACAAACATTCAGAACATCTTAGCAGTGTTCTGAAATCCTATGTGAGTGAAAAACTCTCAGAATCCAGTAGCAATATTCTGGAATCCTATGTGAGGGACTAACACTGAGAACCCAGCTGCAGTGTTCTGGAATCCCATGTGAGGGACAACCCCTCAGAACCCAGCAGCAGTGTTCTGGAATCCTATGTCAGTGACAAACACTCATAACCCAGCAGAAGTGTTCTGGAGTCTTATTTAAGGGACAAACACTCAGGACCCAGAGCAGTGTTCTAGAATCTTTGTGAGGGACAAACGCTCAGTACCCAGCCACTGTGTTCTGGAATCCTATATGAGGAACAAACACTCACAACACAACAGCAATGTTCTAGAATCGTTTGTGAGGGACAAAAATTCGGAATCTCGTAGCAGTGTTCTGGAATCATATGTGAGGAACAAACACCCTGAACCCAGCAGCGGTGTTTTGTAATACCATGTGAGGGACAAACACTCAGAAATCAGCAGCAGTGTTCTAGAATCCTTTGTCAGGGACAAACCTGCAGACCCTCGAAGCAGTGTTCTGGAATCATATGTGAGGGACAATCACTCAGAACACAGTGGCTGGGTTCGGGAATCCAATGTTAGGGACAAATCCTCAAAACCCAGCAGTAGTGTTCCGGAATCCTGTGTGAGGGACAAACATTCAGAACCCAGCCACTGTGTTCTGGAATACTACCTGAGGAACAAATTTCAGACACTCGTAGAAGTGTTTTGGAATCCTATGTGAGGGACAAACATTCAGAACACAGTAGTTGTCTCCTGGAATCCTATGTGCGGGACAAACACTCAGAACCCAGCAGCAGTGTTCTGGAATCCTTTGTGAGAGACACTCAGAACCCAGAAGCAGTGTTCTGGAAGTCCCATGTGAGGGATAAACACTCCGAACCCAGCAGTAGTTTTCTGGAATCCTATGTGAGTGACACACAGGAACCAGCAGCAGAGCTCTAGATTCCTTTGTGAGGGACAAACATTGGGACCCTTGAAGCTATGTTCTGAAATCCTATGTGAGGGACAAACACTCAGAACCCAGCAGCAGTGTTCTGGAATCCTTTGTGATGGACAAACATTCAGACCGTCCTAGAAGTGTTCTGAAATCCTATGTGAGGGACAAACACTCAGAACCCAGCAGCAGTGTTCTGGAATCCTTTGTGATGGACAAACATTCAGACCGTCCTAGAAGTGTTCTGAAATCCTATGTGAGGGACAAACACTCAGAACCCAGCAGCAGTGTTCTGGAATCCTTTGTGATGGACAAACATTCAGACCGTCCTAGAAGTGTTCTGGAATCATATGTGAGGGACAAACTCTCAGAACCCAGCAGCAGTGTTCTGGAATCCTATGTGAGGGACAAACACTCAGAAAATGGCAGCAGTGTTTTGGAATCCTGTGTGATCGAGAAAGATTCAGAAATTCGTAACAGTGTTCTGGAATCCCATGTGAGGGCTAAACACTCAGAACCCTGCAGCAGTGTTCTGGAATCCTATGTGAGGGAAAAACACTCACAACCCAGCAGCAGTGTTCTCAAATCGTATGTGAGGGACAACACTCATAACCCACCAGCAGTGTTCTGGAATCCTCTGTTTGGGACAAACATTCAGAAACTCATAGCAGTGTTCTGGATTCGTATGTGAGGGAGAAACACTCCGAACCCAACATCAGTATTTTGGAATTCCATGTGAGTGACAAACACTCAGAACCCAGCATCTCTGTTCTGGAATCCTATGTCGGGGACAAACACTCAGAACCCAGCAGCAGTGTTCTGGAACCCTATATGAGGTAAAAACCCTCAGAACCCAGCAGCAGTGTATCATAATCCTGTGTGAAGGACAAAGATTCAGAATTTGTAGCAGTGTTCTGGAACCCTATGTGAGGTAAAAACCCTCAGAACCCAGCAGCAGTGTATCATAATCCTGTGTGAAGGACAAAGATTCAGAATTCGTAGCAGTGTTCTGGAATCCCATGTGAGGGACAAACACTCAGAACCCAGCCGCAGTGTTCTGGAATCCTATGTGAGGGACAAACAATCAGAAACCAGCAGCAGTGTTCTGGAATCCTATGTGAGAGACAAACATTCAGACACTCATAGAATTGTTCTGGAATCCTACGTGATTGAAAAACACGCAGAAGCCAGCAGCTGTGCTCTGG